>NT_187690.1:0-164170 GCF_000001405.40 Homo sapiens | reverse complement strand
CATTATAATAAAAACCTTTAAATGCTCTGAGTGCCCAGCGTCAGCATGGTGATAACATACATACGAGGGAATATTGTGCAGCTGCAGTTAGTTCTTATTACATTTCACAGGCATCTTAAATGCTTTGTGAACACCGGTGCATAGATTTTTTTGTTTGGTATAGATGGCAATGATTAGATGGGTGAAATAATAAAAAAAATGGACATATAATTTTAAAAATATTGAGTGACAGAAAAAAATGAAAAAATGTTAAAGAACTTTTTGGTTATGATATTATCACTAAAAGGCCGTGTCTCCTTGCTCCCTTCTTTGGGGACGGTTCTGGGCTTGCCTGGCCCGTGGGTGGGAATTGTGGTGCTCCAAGTGCCTTCAGCTGCTGCTGGGGTCCCAGGAGCCCAGCCTAGGTGTTCTTCCATCCTCACCACCCCATGGCCTCCATGGAGCCCCACGGCAGCCTCAGGAAGGAGGGCAGTATCGTCAGAACACAGTCCTCATGGACCCCCCAAGAGACCCTTGGGCAGAATGCCCCATCCCACCCAGGTCCAGCTTCACTCAGCACGTAAACAGGAACACGGCTGCAGGCAGGCTCCACGCACCCCGTCCCCAGGGAAGCCGCAGCCCTCGTCCCACGTATCCCGGGCAGGCATCTGTAACTGAGGGCTGCGTGGTCGGGTGAGCAGCGAGGCACATGCTGGCTGGGCGGGGAGGGGCGGCCCTGAGTGGTCGTCTTGCTCAGTGCTAGAGGGGCTCTGAGCCGAAGGTCTGAGGGTCCTGGAGCTGCCATGGCAGATCCCCACAGTCTCGGCAGCTCAAAACAACAGGGACTCATTCTCTCCCCGCTCAGCAGGGAGGGGTCTGAAATCGAGTCCATGGGCCGTGCTCCCTCCAGAGGCTCCAGGGGAGGACCCTGCCACCTCCACCAGCTTCTGTGGCTCCAGGCGTCCCTGGGCCGCGGCCACAATGCTGCACCTCTGCCTCGGTCTCCAGGCGACCTCCTCCTCTGTCTGCGTCTAACCTCCCTCTGCCTCTGTGTAAGGACACTTGCCGTGCATGTAGGGCCAACGAGTTAATCCAGAATGACCTCCTTATCTCAAGATCTTTAACTTAAACACAGCCACAAAGACCTGCCTCCTATTTGAAGAGAGGTTCTCTGCACAGTTCCAGGGTCAGGAGGTGAACACCAGGTGGCCCAGCCTCAGCCACCCCAGTGATGATGTGTGAGGTTTCAGAACAGCTGTGCTGCCCTGTTAGGAGCTATACACGCAGAAAGGCAACTCCGCCAGCGTCAGGGGTGCCGGATGCATGCAGGATCAGAAGGCGTCGGATTTCCCAGGGAAGCTGGGGAGCAAGGATCCTGCACCAAGGGAGGCAGGAGGCCGGAGACCAGCCCAGGCCCAGTCCAGGAGGAGCCTGGCCAGGAGTCCCACCAAAGCCACTGGAGCCTCCGTGACCCAGCCCTGGAGGGTCAGCACTGTCCCTCAAACGGATTCTTCACACACAGGTCTCTCTGTCTGTGGGGGCTGCAGGGCCAGTGCCTGAGGAGCCCGGACTTCACACAGGGGTCTCTCTGTCTGTGGGGGCTGCAGAGCCGGTGCCTGGGGAGCCCGGACTGCCGGAAACCTTTGCGGTGGGAGGCTGCAGATGGGACTTCTTGGCCTGTGTTTATGTGGAGCCCAGGCTGCGGGCACCACAGCCAGGCACAGGTCAGGGGTAAGTTGTGGGTGATGTAAGGACTAGAAGCGTAAGTAATGGCCTGACCCCCATGTCCTGGCTGTGCTGTGCGGTGGGAAAGACATGGGCTCCGGCGGCTGCTGGGGATGGCCTGGCTTGCACCTGCTGGGTCCCCCCCTGGCCACCAGCCTCACCCAAGGGCAGTTGGTGACTGCCTGCCTCACTCCTGCCAACCCTCAGGGGCCTAGGAGTCCTGCGTGGTGGGTCTAGGAACCATGCTGGAGGACAGGCCTGTGCCAGGGCCACCAGGATGTCTATGGCAGGAGCCGGTGCTGGCGAACCCCACACCTTGAGCCCCAGAGCCAGGATCCTCAGCCCAGGAAAGGGACCAGAGGCGGGAAAACCACACGGCAAAGGCTGTCCCGTGAGGTCACGGCTCCGTCACCGCTGCCCACACACGGAAGGCAGCCGCGGCTGGGTGAAGCCATCTTCACAGACATGCCGTCCTTGAGGCTCTCACACATGCACACAGACGCTCCGTCCTCTCCCACCCGCCCCCCCGCCACCCCGGGCAGGCCAGGAAGTCCCATCTGGGGCCTCCCACCCCGAGGGTTGCCGTCAGTCCGTGTGCCCAGGCATCGGGGCCTGAAGCCTCCACAGACAGCGAGACCTGTGTACGAAGCAGACTCTGTCCTAGGGACAGTGCTGACCCTACAAGGCTGGGTCACTGGAGGCTCCCCGGGTCCAGTGGCTTTGGTGGGACTCCTGGCCAGGCTCCTCCTGGGCCGGGCTGGTCTCCGGCCTCCTGCCTCCCTTGGTGGAGCACCCTTGCTCCCCAGCACCTCCCAGGTTCACACAGCTCCTCCCTGGGGCTGCGCACTGACCCAGGGGCAGGAGGTGGGCCATCCTCTCGGTGGACTGAAGACCTTGTCCGAAGGGAAAGCAGGGCCGGCCCAAGGCCTGGCTGGAAGAGTGGGTCTTGGTGGCAAAGGCGGCCCGTGGGGGCAGCCCACGCGAATGCTTCCCCGGCGCCCTGAGCCCCTGACCGCGGCTGAGCCTGCGGTACTCTGGCCCCTCTCGTGGAAAGATGACCTGGGTCTACCATGCTCAGTATCACCCAAAAATTCCTACAGAAGTCTCTCGGGACAAGAAAAGGCCTTCTTCCCTCCCTCCTCCTTTCCTCTTCCTTTCTTTCATCAGGGAACAGCTTCCGGCTGCCTGCACTGTTTGGGCGCCGTCATAAGGAGCCGTGACGGCCTTCACAGAGCTCCGGGGCTCACGGGTGTGGCTGACCTGCCACAAATGGGGCGACAGAGGAGAGGGAGGGTCGGGCACCGATGGCTCAGGAGGGAAGAGATCCCTTCTGTATGGGGAGACGGGGGCTTCCTGGAGGGCACTGGAGCGAGGGGCTCACCAGAGTGAGACATCCAAGGGATCTGGGGGACCGGCCATGGGACACTGCGGTCCCACGTGGCTCCTGGATGTGCTGTGTGTTTGCTGAGCTGGAGGGGACGGGGAGCCCATGTGTGGGAGAGGGAGAGGCCATGCACGCCCTGAGTCGGGCTTTACAAAAACCTTCTGGGGGCAGCAGGAGAGGAGCCACGCAGAGGCAGAGCCAGGGAGAGGCGGTGGGGTAGTGAGGGGGATGTCGGGGTGCACGGGTTAGGAGACCCCCGAGTCCTGGGACCTGCATGCTGATAGTCAAGGTTGCAGAGGCGGCTGCTGTGGTGACCACAGGGCAGGGAGAGGCAGTGGGGTAGTGAGGGAATGTCGGGGTGCACAGCACCAGACCCTCCCAGATCTTCTGATTCAGTCCTGGGGGGACCCTACCCCAGATCTTCCAATTCAGTCCTGGTTCGGCCTGAGAATTTGCATTTTTAACATGTCCAGGGACCACAGTTTGAAAACCTCCACGGCTGACATGTAATGGGATGACATGGTCCAATAAATGAAGGAAAAATAACAGGTGGCAACCTCAGGCAGCTTCATCCCAACCAGTAAGAAAGTAAATCCTTTTGTAAACTAAGAGGAAGTATTAATATGGGCGTTTGAGCAAACATTTAAGTGTTAGAACAAAGAATTAAAAACTAGCACAGGCACCCCTGAAGCATGATAGGATGGCAACAGAAGGGCTGATTTAGTTTCCAAGAAATAACTGACAGGCAGTGTTGTGCGTGTGTCTACTACTTAGGAACCCAAAACAAACCTTCAGACCGTTTTCATGAGTACTGAGACCAAGAAAACCACTGGGCAGTGGGTGGTCTGGAAATGTAAATGTTGATGGTACTCCAGTAATGAGTCATGGAACAATGTTTCATATTGAAAATGTTTTTGTAAATGTGGGTTTCAAGGTTTCAAAGTGAACCCGTATGTGTTAGGAGAAAGGACACACCAAAGAAGTAAAATAATTGGGTCAATATAAAAAGAAAGTAGAATACTGCCCAGAGAGAAGATGTGGATAATTCCTAACACGGATCAAAGGCACCAAAAAGGTGAGCTGTGAGTAAGATATTCAGACCTGCACCATCCCCTGCATTAGACACAGACAACATCTTGGTAGGCAACTGGGTGAAAATTCAGAGACAACCCTAGGAACTATGAGGATGAAAAAAGTTAGCATTCATGGAATGAGGCACTGACGAAACTGAAAAGCTGGAATAACCCCATGAAATAACGAGAATAATTGTAGTATTCTGAACCGGGGCACAGGACACAGGACTGGAGTGGAAGGCCGCATGAGACCACCCCGGGAAAGACCCAGGGATCACACTGGCCCAAAGGTGGGCACTTCCCAACTCCGGGATTTGTGATACAGGCACTCCAGGCTCCACCATAGAACTGTGTCCAGCACGAAGGCAGTGCTGTCTTGCGGGAGGCAGGGCTGCACCACCACAGGGGCGGGAAGGGGCCCGGCAGGGAGGCGCCCAGTGTTTCCAGCTGCACCGGTCGGGGACCGCGCTGATGCAGAGCGCGGGGGCGCAGGTTAAACCTAAAGGAGGGAAGCTTTTGGGGGCGGAACAGACAACGGAGAACGCTGCACACTGCCCTTCCCACGCGAATTGTGCTTTGCCTTTTTTTTTTTTTTTTTTTTTTTTGAGACGGAGTTTTGCTCTTGTTGCCCAGGCCTGGAGTGCAATGGCCTGATCTCGGCTCACTGCAACCTCCGCCTCCCGGGTTCAAGCAATTCTCCTGCCTCAGCGTCCCGAGTAGCTGGGATTACAGGCGTGCGCCACCACGCCCGGCTAATTTTGTATTTTTAGTAGATACTGGGTTTCTCCATATTGGCCAGGTTGGTCTCGAACTCCTGACTTCAGGTGATCCACCGGCCTCGGCCTCCCAAAGTGCTGGGATTACACGCGTCAGCCACCGCACCCGGCCTGCTTGCTTTTTTTTTTTTTTTTTTTGCAGAGTCTCGCTGTCCACCGGGCTGGAGCTGCAGTGATCTCGGCTCCCTGCGGCCTCGACCTCCCGGGCTCAGGCGATCCTCCCGCCTCAGCCCACGGAGTACATGGGACCACAGGAGCCCACCACGCCCGACTACTTGCTGTAATTTTTGTAGGGATGGGGTCTAGCCCCGCTGCCCAGGCTGGTCCGCACTGCTGGGCTCAAGAGCTCCGCCCGCCTCCGCCTCACAAAGCGCAGGGATCCCAGGTGTGAGCTACCGCGCCCCGCCCAGAGTTTCCGACTGTTAGCGTGAATCATATTCACGTCAAAACTTCTTTTTATACAAGAACTAAAAGGCAAACGAAATCCCTGCTCCATCACTGCCTGTCCCGGGTCGCGGCGCGGGACATTTCCTCCAAGCGCCTTCCCGGCCCCGCGCGCAGGTGGCCTGCGCCGGAGGATCCCGGACAACGCGCATTTCCTGCGCCCCCGGAAGCGGCGGTAACGCCTGGCCCTGCCCCCGGCAGAGGCGGAAGCACAGTCGCTCTGAGGTCGCCCGTGGCCGCAGGTGCCTCAGCCCAGCCGCGCGCCTTGGCCCTTGGCCGCCTACTCCTACCGCCCCGGCCTTGGGCGGCCCTGGGCCTGCTGCGGGCGCGGCGCTGCCCGACCAGAGCTTCCTGTGGAACGTCTTCCAGAGCTGCCACCTGGCACCGCCCCGGCACCTCCCGCCTCCCCCGCAGCTGCCCCGGACCCGTGTCCCGACCCCCGCGGCCAACCCCGTTCCCTGCCGGTTGCCCCGCGGCCTCCCCCGTCACCTGCCGGGTCCCCAGCGGCCTCCCCCGTCCCCTGCCCCGACCTCCGCCGTCTCCCCCGCCCCTGCCCGGACCCCCGCGGGCGCCCCCGAACCCTACCCCGACCGACGCGGCCGCCCCCATCCCCTGCCCCGACCCCCGCGGCCGCCCCCATCCCCTTCCGGGTCCCCCGCGGTCTCCCCCGTCCGCTGCCCGGTCTCCTGGGGCCGCCCCTGCCTCCTGCCCGGTCCCTGTCCTGTGCGTCGGGCGCTTCCCAAGGTGCAGAGGGCGCCACTGCAGACCCGAGGTCGCGGCCACCGGCTCCTGGGCCAGGCCCCGTTTCTCGCCTCGAGCCGTCGGGGGAGGGTCTCCAGGGTGCTTGTTTGGGGAAAGCGGAAACAGACTGTCTGGGCCGCTGTTAAAATGTCAGCAGCCAAGGAAGAAGCAGCGACCTGGCGTCTGCTCGGGCCAGGTGACCTTTATGGCGGCGCCTTCTGTCCCTGGTCGCTTTTCCACTGAATGAATGACCGAAACTGTAGTAACTCATGGCCAGGGAATGGCTTAGTTATCTGAGGGAATCTTGTCTTGTCTGTGAAAAAGGGAAACTGGTGCAAATGGGAATTCAGACAGGTCAGGAGGGGAAGGAAGGGAAGGATTGAGGTGGGAAAAGAGAGAGAAAGATGATTGTCCTCTTAGGGGAAGAACACACTTGGACGTGGCTCCTGGGGCACTTCCTTGATTCCGCTGTACTCCTCAGCGGGACCGGAGAGGCGGAGGTTCCAGGAGGGAGCCTTCCAGAGTCGGTGCAGGGTTGACAGGAGACGTTTGTTTTGCTTTTCCTGAACTTTCGATCGCCAGCTTGTTTGGTCTTCTTGATGTTATAGGGTTGATAGAGAGGAGTGGAGTGATATCGGACACCCAGCTTCAGCAAGCTCTCTCCAAGGGTGAGTGGGCCAGTGGGACCTGGGTCTCCGGACCAAGAAGCCGCGAGCCTGCCCTGCTCACAGTGGATAACTTTCTTTCTGAAGTTGATTTTCCAAGGACAAAGGAATCATTAGGACAAATTATTACTGCTTCATGGTGGAGATGCTTCTGGTTTATTTTGTGGCTACCGCTGTTACTGCTTGGAGTGCCTCACCGAGCCAGCTAACAACGGCGTGCGTGAGCGCAGGGAAAGGCTTCTTGAGAAATGAAAACTAGGTTGTAGGTTTAGGAGGGGAATAGGAAGGTTAGCTCTGTCCAGCCGAAAGCCTTTTGGTAAGTTGGGGGTCCTTGAATTTCCTGGGTGACTGCATCTTGGTGACTTCTCTGAATAGACCTTCGAGGGCACTGGGGGGTGATTGTTGGAGGGCTTGGGGAGCTCAGGCAGCACTTGTGTGGGAACGTGGCTGTTACAGGAACTGCAGAAACTGGGACTGGGTTCCTGGGGAAAGGATTGGGGGTGTTGGAGGCGCTGGCAGGGGAGTTATGGGGAGGCGTTCTTATCAGTGTGCGAATATTGGGCGTTCAGGCAGCGGGAAATCTGGGTCCTTGGCGTGTTGTGAGCTCCCTGGAGTTACGTTCTTGCCAGTTTCAGCTCAATTGATCCCCCTCCCCTGAGCTATCATTGGATACATTTTACTTCATTGAACACCTGACTGCTGCTTTTTCTGTAATCCCTCAGGGGCAGTCATCTTTTCTGATTCTGTGTATAGTTTGCCTTTCCAGATCCGTGCCATTTAAGCTAGAAAAGGGGTCAGTTTTGAGATGTTGTGAAAATGTTGAAAGGCTCCTCGTTATTAGTGGGAAGTATCTGATGTTGCCAGAGACTGAACTGGGGCGCGGGGAGCACTACGGCTGCTAGACACTGCCTCACTGCGCTGTGGGTGGTGGGGGGGGAGGTGCTGGATTCAGTCTTACTGCCTAATGATTTGTGAGGATTTGTGTTTTCAGAGTAACATGTTTACCTTATGTTATCAGTTCCTAATATGTGACGTATGGGCCACAGATGCTGGTGTATTATTTCACATGCATTTATATAGATTGTTTTCAGGGAATTCAGAAATTCTGTTATCTCTACACTAGTGATTGTGCTTTCTTGATTTTTCTCTTTTCATTATTCTTAAATCCTCCTTTTTTTATTTGCATCTCAGTTTATTTATACTCGGGAAGTGCAAGACATGGCGACTAGAAAGAGATGTCAAGAGAACCCGGAATCCAGTAGGCTACAATTTGGCAAATCTTAGCTTAAAACTTCCTAAATGTTGACCACAGTGGATGCAAATGGCTCTGTGCATCGTCTGTTCAATATGGTCAGGTGACCACCCAGGTTCACGTGGTTTGTCACCAGGGTGATACGAGCCACACGGAGTGCCCTCCTCAGAGGCCATGTCTCAGAGACGTTTATTTTGAGTGGTTTTCCAGCGAGTGATGCAAGATTTATGATCCATTTTAACAGCTGCTTTTTATGCATTTGCTCAAATTTTTAGATTTTAAGTTTAGTTTTAGGTTTTCTGTTAATTTGCTCAACTAGGAGTGGTGGTCAAATACTGGACCTCATTAGCATGGTAGCCTGCCCTCCTTGGCAGGCTCCACTGGAGTGCCTTGGGGCCTGCCTGGATTCCAGTCCTGGCTCTACCAGTTTTGTGTCCTCGCCGTTACTGGGAGGGAGTATTGAGGAAATGCATGCGAGGTGCCTCCGTGATTCCTGGCACGGAGCAAGTGCTCAGTAATTGTCAGCTGTGAGTATTAGTAGTAGCTAATACACTACTACTATTCTTGGCTAACAAGCCAGCTCAAAGCTTTGATGGTTTTCCATTACCTGATGATGGTGATGATGGTTTCCACTTCCTGAACACTCACACCCCTGGGCTAGGCACTTAACCCAAATCCAAGGTCAGCGTTATTGTTTGGAGGTGGGGGAGACACCTCCTGCTCTGACTCGTGTGTTTGGGTTCCCGTATTTTCACCAGAGGGTGTTAGTCCTGCCCCAGTTCAGCTGGTCCTCAAAGCGTATATAGCTCTTTAACCCTCAGCAAGTGTCAGTCAGAACATAATCTTGATTTCAGCTGCTACTAAATATCTACCAGGAGCCTGCTTGAGAGAGAGAATTGCCTGACAGGTGCTGAGTCCACCATTCCTGAGATACTTTGAAATCAGTGTCTGGCTTAACCCAAGCTGTGTATGGGGACCCTCTCACCGTGGTCCCAATGGAGTCGCTTTTGTTAGGCGCCCCCCTTTACCTTGGGCTCTGAGCTTCCTCTGCCTTTCATCTCTGCAGGATGAAGCCCCACTCGCCCTTCAGGATGCAAAGCCCTCCTCTATAAAGTGCATGCGGGGCCAGATGCAGTGGCTCACGTCTGACCTCCCAACACTTTGGGAGGCCGAGGCAGGGGGATCGTTTGAGACCAGCCTGGACAACATTGTGAGACCCTGTTCCTTGAATTGCCCTGGGAGATTTCCTCAGCTTGTACTGGAGGTGTGTGGCCCCATGAAGCCCATAGTCACCGTTCACCCTGAGAGACGCTGGCTTTGGGGCTGACACACCTGCTGCGGGGCAGCCCCAGGAGATGGCCACCCTGTTTCTCCTGGAGCTGGAGCTGCGCGTCTTCTCAGAAACTGTGGTGGCTGTCCTGTTTTGTTTGCATCTTATAAACCTTTACCTGATTACATTTTCCTCTTCAATTTAGCTGCTAGAAAACTTAAAGTCAGATTGGTGGCTCACCAGTAATGAGAGTTTAGAGTAGAGGTAAACTTTATGACATAGTCTTAGACTCTTCACTTTCTCCTCAGCCAACATGATTCACATTTACTTTATTTTGCTGTACTGTGAGTGTCTTTGTGTTTCCTGAATTCCTTCTGGAATAAGGCAGGTTGTTAGTAAGCACAGGTTTCTGGTCCATCTCATAGCCTCAGGCAGTGGGCGGTGCTGTCCGTGCTCCCTTTCTGGGTTACCTGTGGTAGCTCTGAAGTTGCAGGGCTGCGATTTGAAGCCTGATTTAGTACACCGTGTTTCTGTTGTGTTCTGTGGTGGTTTGCTCCTCACATGTGAGCATTCACCCTGTGGCCCTGTGTTTTTCCACCACACCTCTGCCTGGTGGCATCCTACTGGATGTCTCAGCTGAGCCACTCTGTTCTGAAGATGCCCTTGTCCTCCACCCCTTTGCTTTGGGCTCTGAGCTTCTTCTGCCTTTCATCTCTGTAGGATGAAGCCCCACCCGCCCTTCAGGATGCCAGCCTTGGCAACATTGTGAGACCCTGTTTCTACAAAAAGTAAACGTGTAGTGGTGCACGCCTGTAGTTCCAGCTACTTGGGAGGCTGAGATGGGAAGATCACTTGAGCCTGGGAGGTTGAGGCTGCATTGAGCTGAGATCAAGCCACGGCACTCCAGCCTGGGAGACAGAGCGAAACCCCATCTCAAAAAAACAAAGAAAGTGGATGCGCGCTGCTCCTGCCATTGGATCATCGCAGCATTTTTCTTTTCTCTGATATGCGCCTTTTTCCTCATCGTGGGGGCTCATGTTTTCGTACTTTTCTCTCGCTACTAGATTGTGAGCTGCGTGAAGGAAGGTTCATAGTCGTGTTGTATGTACAGGCACACAAAATTTGTGCTTGGATAGACACATATCAATCCGCTTCCTTCTCCTCTCTGAGTTTCTTTATTTAAAAAAAAAATTAGAGATGGAGTCTCACTGTCTTGCCCAGGCTGGTCTCAAACTCCTAGGCTCAAGCGATCCTCCCGCCTCTACTAATATGAATTATTAGCCTATACTAATATGAATTCCTATACTAATATGATTGAAATTAGTTTGACTTGTATAATAATTGTTCTCCCAGATTGGGCTTCTGTTTTGATAGTAGAACTAAATTATTAGGCTATTTCAAGAAATTAATATATTACTGGTAGAAAAACTGAAGCTACAAAATGGCCTGGTTTCTCACTTCAGTTAAATTTGTGCTTCTGAGTGCTTGTATTGTAGGTGAAACCGCACTGAGAAGGTATTTGTGGCCCGTATGCTGATTGATTGATGAGACTTCTTTGCACAGGAGAGCTGCTAAAAATTATTACGGTGAACAGGTATGAAGAAGACTGTTCTCTGCCCTTCTTTTTGCAATAAAATGTTACAAACTATCTTGAGATTGATCCCTTTTCGGGTGTTTGGGTTTTTTTTAACATTCACATATTTCTTGGAATTATAAGAAATTAACTTTGTGCTTCTGAAGTGGGTTTCCCTTAATATAACACTGATGTATTTGTAAGGGGCATTTTTAAAGTTGTACTTTAAAAAATAATAATTCTTACATTCGTTTGAAGGTTTTTTGTTTGTTTGTTTGTTTGTTTTTGAGATGAAGGCTTGCCCTGTCACCCAGGCTGGAGTGCAGTGGCATTGATCTTGGCTCACTGCAACCTCTGCATCTGGAGTTCAAGCAATTCTCCTGCCTCAGCCTCCTGAGTAGCTGGGACTACAGGCACCTGCCACCACGCCCAGCTAATTTTTTGTATTTTTAATAGAGATGGGGTTTCACCGTGTTAGCCAGGATGGTCTCAATCTCCTGACCTCATGATCCACCCACCTCGGCCTCCCAAAGTGCTGGGATTACAGGCGTGAGCCGGGGGCCAACATGGTGAAACTCTATCTCTACTAAAAATACAAAATTAGCCGGGAATGGTGGTGTGCGCCTGTAATCCCAGCTACTCGGGAGGCTGAGGCATGAGAATCACTTGAACCTGGGAGGCAGAGGTTGCAGTGAGCTGAGATAGCGCCACTACAGTCCAGCCTGGGGGACAGTGAGACTCCATCTCAAAAAAAAAAAACAAAAAAAGAATAGAATAACTCTTGTTTAGGTGTTACAAAATCCAGGCCAGACCAATCTAAACTTTAATCTCATACCCAGTTCCTAGATGAGTCCCTTCTCCAGCTCAGGTTCGGCCTAAGCCTCAGGGTTCCTTGCTTGGTGGGCACCACCTGCTCCCTTCCCCGCCTTTGTTCCTCTTTTTCCTCTGCTGGCTCCTCCGGGGTTGGGTGTGTTCAGAGGCAGAGACAGGCTAAAGGTCTTTGGCTTTTAGGTTCTGTTGATGGGTGAGTTCCAGATATAGCTTTCTCTTGTAGGATATTTCATTTATTTATCTATTAAAAATATTTATTTAGAACACACCATTCATGTGCCAGACCCTGTTCCAGGAACTGGGGAGAGGGTGATAAATGAGATCAACAAAAATACCTGCCCACATTAAGCTCCTGTTCTAGGGAAGACAAAAAAGAAAGAAAATACACGTGTCCTTAGTACATTAGAAGGTTCCAAGTACTGTAGAGAAAAATAAAGTAGGTTGGACTCGGTGGCTCATGCCTGTAATCCCAGCACTTTGCGAGGCTGAGGTGGGAGGATTACTTGAGCTCAGGAATTTGAGACCAGCCTGGGCAACATGGCAAATCCTGTCTCTACCAAAATAAAAAAAAAAAAATTAGCTGGATATGGTGGCGTGCACCTGTAGTCCCAGCCACTGGGGAGGCTGAGGAGGGAGAATTGCTTCAGCCCAGGAGGTGAAGGTTGCAGTAAGCTGAGATCGTGCCATTGCACTCCAGCCTGAGTGACAGAGCCAAACCCTGTCTCAAAAACAAGGAAAGAAAGAAAATGAAAAAAAGAAAGCAGAGATGGGGCAAGCAGGGGAGAGGGCTGGTGCTGGGGTCACAGCGGAGGGGCTGGGGATGCACGGGAGGGGCTGGGGATGTGAGCTTTCCTGAGTTCCCACAGTTCTCTGCCCCTCTCCTGTCTCATGGCACAAGGGCCTCCTGGGGCTTGCGGTGGTTTTGCGCCAAGCTAATATCTTGTTCTTCCCAACAGACGGAGGCCCATTGAGGCTTCTGTGTCCTCCACGGGGACCAGCATTGGGCTAAACCTGCAGACACCATTGCAAAGGGAATTCAGGCAAACCCGCTGGTGAAAAATGATTCCAGCGTGGGGACAGAGGCTGACATTTCTCGCGTGGGTGATTTAATGTTGGGCCTCAATTTTTCACTCCCCCCGTAAGAGTATGACATAGCCACAACCTTGCCAGGGCCCGAGGGAGGGTGGATGGACTTATCCGTCCCATAGGTGTTGCTCGTGGCTGGGTGACTTGCTTCTGCCAACGAGATTTTCACAGACACGGCACAAGCAGAAGCCTGGAATGTGTGGGCACTGCCAGGCCTGCCGTCTAAGGCTCTTGATTTTCCCCATGAGATGCACGTGCCCCAGGGAACGGCGGCTCTGGCTGTGGGATGAGAGGCGTGTGGAGCAGTCATGGTTCCCATCCTTAGCCTGGAGTCAAGGCCAGACTAGATCAGCCTAAGCCCAGCCACGCCACGGGTGCAGGAGTGAAGAGCAAATGCTAACTGTCCATGGAATTGACTTTCAAAGGGGCGTGTCATGTGCCTCATCCCAGCAACAGGGAAGGCATTTCTCTATCAGTCAGTTGGTAAATGATTATTGACAAACAATGTGCTGGGAAGGTGGAGTGATTTGAGTAGATTTGGCCTCTATTCTCATGGAGCTTCCTTTCTAGAGGGGAAGGCAGATGATGGATGGATAAATATAAATGATTCTAATAGGTTGGTGCAGCAGTCATTAAAAGTAATGGCGAAAAAAAAAACAAAAGAAACGGGGAGGAGCCGTTGCTGCCGTTCATTAATAGTAATGGCAAAACCCGCGATGACTTGTGCGCCAACCTAACCCAGTAACCACGGGTGTGCAAATGTGGCAATGGGCAAGTTCCGAGTGCTAGGAGAGCATCTAGCTTCCCGGAGTCAGGAGACGGGGGTTGGCAACCTAACCAAGGTTAAGTCCAAGTGAGGGGGGTGGGCAGGGAGCGATATTTCAGTGGAGACTCCAAGGATGAATGGTATTTAGAGAGTAAACCCCGATAGGGTGTTTGTCTGGCACAGAGAAGAGCCTGTGCAAAAGCTGGTGGGGTGAGAGGACACCGTGTATTCATCCACCTGAGGGGCGACCAGCAGGCTGGAGCTCAGTGGGTTGAGAGGAGGATGCAGAGCCCGGGAAAGGCACCCTAGGCAGAGGGCACAGAAGCGCAAAGGCCTGGAGTGAGGCCTGAGCCTGTGTGGTTTGAGGAACGGACAGAGGCCTGTCCGTCAGGAAGGGAACGGCACCGGGGAGAGACCTTAGGCCACAGCAGAGGGCAGGGCAGAGGGCAGGGCCGTGCTGGGCACTGTGGGCTGTGGATGGTGCTGGCATTTAAGAGGGGAGACCATAGACCAGGGCAGAGGGCAGGGCCGTGCTGGGCACTTCGGGCTGTGGATGGGAGCTGGCATTTATGCTCAGGTGATGGGAATGTGTTAAAAGATTTTAAGGAGGGGAGTAACAGTTGGGATTAATGTGTATTCTGGGAATCTCAACAAAGTAAATTCATAGTTTGAATTTTCATAAGACTTCTGCACAGGCAGAGAGAAATAAGATCATGTCTACAGCTGTGTGATGATTTTATTGAAAAACATTACTAAGTTTTTAAACGTGATTTCAAATGGTGTGTTTCTGTTTCACCTTGGACATAAGTAGATTGCAAGGCTAATGGAAAGTAGAAAAGTTAATTCATGAACATAAAAGAGATATCAATTTGAAAACAAAACGTTTATTCATTTACTTCCGCTGCAGATTTCTTGACTGCTGAATTTCATGAGAAGGGATTGTTCAGGGAGGGACATGGGGCTGAAGACCTGGAGAGGAGGTGGTGCTACCGCTGTTCAAATCTGAGGGTGGTGGAGATGGAGCCTTGGGGAGGAGCAGGTGCTGCCTTTTAAGTCTATGAGAGTCGTTGAGCTGGAGGTCCAGGGAGGAGCCAGTGCTCCCACTGATGTCTTAGGTTGTGGAGCTGAAGACAATGAAGGAGCCAGTGTGGCTGTTCTGTGAGACTCGTGGAGCTGGAGATCCAGGTGGGAGAGGTGTTTTAGCTCGGGGAAGAGCTGATGTTCTACCTTGAGGGTCGTGCAGCTGCAGACCCGGGGAGGAGCTGATGTTCTAGATTGAGGGTCGTGCAGCTGCAGACCCGGGGAGGAGCTGATGTTCTAGATTGAGGGTCGTGCAGCTGCAGACCCGGGGAGGAGCTGATGTTCTAGATTGAGGGTCGTGCAGCTGCAGACCCGGGGAGGAGCTGATGTTCTAGATTGAGGGTCGTGCAGCTGCAGACCCGGGGAGGAGCTGATGTTCTAGATTGAGGGTCGTGCAGCTGCAGACCCGGGGAGGAGCTGATGTTCTAGATTGAGGGTCGTGCAGCTGCAGACCCGGGGAGGAGCTGATGTTCTAGATTGAGGGTCGTGCAGCTGCAGACCCGGGGAGGAGCTGATGTTCTAGATTGAGGGTCGTGCAGCTGCAGACCCGGGGAGGAGCTGATGTTCTAGATTGAGGGTCGTGCAGCTGCAGACCCGGGGAGGAGCTGATGTTCTAGATAGAGGGTCATGCAGCTGAAGACTCGGGGAGGAGCTGATGTTGTAGTTTGAGGGTCATGCAGTTGAGGACTTTGGGAGGAGCTGATGTTGTTCGTGTTGAGGGTCTTTCAGCTGGGGACTCAGGGAGGAGCTGATAATCTTGATTAAGGGTCATGGAGCTGGAGACCCAGACAGGAGCTGATGTTCTAGTTAGTGGATCTTCCAGCTACAGAGTCAGAGAGGAGCTGATGTTCTAGATTGAGGGTCATGCAGCTGAATACTCGGGGAGGAGCTGATGTTGTAGTTTGAGGGTCATGCAGTTGAGGACTTCGGGAGGAGCTGATGTTGTTCACGTTGAGGGTCTTTCAGCTGGGGACTCAGAGAGGAGCTGATAATCTTGATTGAGGGTCATGGAGCTGGAAACCTAGACAGGAGTTGATGTTCTAGTTAGTGGATCTTCCAGCTGCAGACCCAGGGAGGAGCTGATGTTCTAGTTTGAGGGTCGTGCAGCTGAAGACCCGGGGAGGAGCTGATGTTCTAGATTGAGGGTCGTGGAGCTGCAGACGCGGAGAGGAGCTGATGTTCTAGTTTGAGGGTCGTGCAGCTGGAGACCTGGAGAGGAGCTGATGTTCTAGTTTGAGGTTCTTGCAGCTGCAGACCTGGAGAGGAGCTGATGTTCTAGATTGAGGGTCGTGCAGCTGCACACTTGGAGAGGAGCTGATGTTCTAGATTGAGGGTCTTGCAGCTGCAGACCTGGAGAGGAGCTGATGTTCTAGTTTGAGGATCTTGCAGCTGCAGACCCGGAGAGGAGCTGATGTTCTACTTTGAGGGTCGTGCAGCTGGAGACCTGGAGAGGAGCTGATGTTCTAGTTTGAGGGTCATGCAGGTGAAGACTCGGGGAGGAGCTGATGTTCTAGTTTGAAGGTCTTGCAGCTGCAGACCTGGAGAGGAGCTGATGTTCTAGTTTGAAGGTCTTGCAGCTGCAGACCTGGAGAGGAGCTGATGTTCTAGATTGAGGGTCGTGCAGCTGAAGACTCGGGGAGGAGCTGATGTTCTAGATTAAGGGTCATGCAGCTGAAGACTCAGGGAGGAGCTGAGGTTCTAGTTTGAGGGTCGTGCAGCTGAAGACTTGGGAGGAGCTGAGATTCTAGTTTGAGGGTCGTGCAGCAGAAGACTCAGGGAGGAGCTGATGTTCTAGATTGAGGGCCCTACAGCTGCAGACCTGAAGAGGTGCTGATGTTCGAGATTGAGGGTCGTGCAGCTGAATACTCGGAGAGGAGCTGATGTTATAGTTTGAGGGCCCTACAGCTGAAGACCCGGAGAGTATCTGATCTTCGAGATTGAGGGTCATGCAGCTGAAGACTCCGGGAGGAGCTGAGTTGCTAATTTGAGGGTCTTGCAGCTGCTGACTTGGGGAGGAGCTGATGTTCTAGTTTGAGGGCCCTACAGTTGGAAATCTGTACAGGAGCTGATGTTCTAGTTTGAGGGTCATGCAGGTGAAAAATCGGGGAGGAGCTGATATTCTAGTTTGAGGGCCCTGCAGCTAGAGATGCAGACAGGAGCTGATGTTGTAGTTTGAGGGTCGTACAGCTGAAGATTCAGGGAGGAGCTGCTCGTGTATTTTTAGGGTCATGCAGCTGCAGACCCGGAGAGGAGCTGATGTTAAAGATTGAGGGTCATGCAGCTGAAGACTCTGGGAGGAGCTGACGTTCTAATTTGAGGTCCCTACAGGTGGACACCGAGAGAGGAGCTTATGTTCTAGATTGAGGGTCATGCAGCAGAAGACTCGGGGAAGAGCTGAGGTTGTAGTTTGAGGGTCGTGCAGCTGGAGAACCAGACAGGAGCTGATGTTGTAGATTGAGCGTCGTGCAGCTGAAGACTCAGGGAGGAGCTGATGTTGTTCGTTTTGAGGGTGTTTCAGCTGGAGACTCAGGGAGGAGCTGACGTTCTAGATTGAGGGTCTTGCAGCTGCAGACCTGTAGAGGAACTGATGTTCTAGATTGAGGGTCACGCAGCTGAAGACTTGGGGAGAAGCTGATGTTCTAACTTGAGGGTCGTGCAGCTGAGGACTCGGGGAGGAGCTGATGTTGACAGCTGTGCAGCTGGAGATCCGGCGGGGAGCTGATGTTCCGGTTTGAGGGCCGGGGAGCTGATGTTCCAGTTTGATGGCCGTGCACCTGGAGACCCAGGGAGGAACATCAAACTGGAACATCTGCTCCCCGCAGTGCCTCCAGCTGCATGGCTCCCAAACTGGAACATCGGTTCCCACCCGGGTCTCCAGCTGCACGGCCCTCAAACTGCAACATCGGCTATCCCCGAGTCTCCAGCTGCACGGCCCTCAAACTGGAACATCAGCTTCTCCCCAAGTCTTTCAGCTGAATGGCCCTCAAACTGGAACTTCAGCTCCCCACCGGGTATCCAGCTGCATGGCCCTCAAACTGGAAGTTCAGCTCCCCACCGGGTCTCCAGCTGCACGGCCCTCAGACTGGAACATCAGCTCCCCACTGGGTCTCCAGCTGCACGGCCCTCAGACTGGAACATCAGCTCCCCACCGGGTCTCCAGCTTCACGGCCCTCAAACTGGAACTTCAGCTCCCCAACGGGTCTCCAGCTTCACGGCCCTCAAACTGGAACTTCAGCTCCCCACCGGGTATCCAGCTGCATGGCCCTCAAACCGGAAGTTCGGCTCCCCCGCGGGTCTCCAGCTGCACGGCCCTCAGACTGGAACATCAGCTCCCCGCCGGGTCTCCAGCTGCACGGCCCTCAAACTGGAATAGTTTGAACTCAGCGGGGAGCTGATGTTCCAGTTTGAGGGCTGTGCAGCTGGAGACCCGGCAGGGAGCTGATGTTCCGGTTGTAGGGCTGTGCAGCCGGAGACCCAGGGGGAAGCTGATGTTCCAGTTGTAGGGCCGTGCTACTGGAGACCCAGGGGTGGAGCTGATGTTCCAGTTTGAGGGCCATGCAGTTGATGACCCGGCGGGGAGCTGATGTTCAAGTTTGAGGTCTGTGCAGCTGGAGACCCGCGGGGGAGCTGATGTTCCAGTTTGATGGCCATGCAGCTGGAGGCTCTGATGGGAGCTGATGTTGCAATTTGAGGGCCATGCAGCTGGAGACCTGGCGGGGAGGTGATGTTCCAGTTTGAGGGCCATGCAGCTGGTGACCTGGCAGGGAGCTGATGTTCCAGTTTGAGGACCGTGCTCCTGGAGACCTAGCGGGGAGCTGATGTTCCAGTTTAAGGCCATGCAGCTGTATGCCCGGGGGGAACTGATGTTGCAGTTTGAGGGCCGTGCATCGGGAGACCCGGTGGGGAGCCAGTGTTGCAGGTTGAGGGCCGTGCAGCTGGAGACCCTGTGGGGAGCTGATGTTCTTGTTTGAGAGCCGTGCAGCTGGAGACCCTGTGGGGAGCTGATGTTCCTGTTTGAGAGCTGTGCAGCTGGAGATCTGGTGGGGAGCTGATGTTCCAGTATGAGGGCCGTGCGGCTGGAGACCTGGTGGGGAGCTGATGTTCCAGTTTGAGGGCCGTGCACCTGGAGACCCGGCAGGGAGCTGATGTTCCAGTTTGAGGGCTGTGCAGCTGGATACCGGGGGTGGAGCTGATGTTCCAGTTTGAGGGCCATGCATCTGGAGACCCAGTTGGTAGCCAGTGTTGCAGGTTGAGGGCTGTGGAGTTGGAGACCCGGGTTGGGGGGAGCTGATGTTCCAGGTTGAGGGCCATGCTGCTGGAGACCCAGCGGGGAGCTGATGTTGCAGTTTGAGGCGGTGCAGCTGGACATGCAGGGGGGAAGTGATGTTGCAATTTGAGGGCTGTGCAGCTGGAGACCCTGTGGGGAGCTGATGTTCCTGTTTGAGGGTCTCGGAGCTGATGTTCCAGTTTAAGGCCATGCAGCTGGAGACCCGGTGGGGAGCTGATGTTCCAGTTTGAGGGCCATGCATCTGGAGACCCGGTGGGGAGCTGATGTTGCAGGTTGAGGGCCATTCATCTGGAGACCCAGTGGGGAGCTGATGTTGCAGGTTGAGGGCTGTGCACCTGGAGCCCCGGGGTGGAGCTGATATTCCAGTTTGAGGGCCGTGCAGCTGGCAATCTGGTGGGGAGCTGATGTTCCAGTTTGAGGGCCATGCAGCTGGAGACCGGGCAGGGAGCTCATGTTCCAGTTTGCAGGCAGTGCAGCTGGAGACCCGGCGGGGAGCTGATGTTCCAGTTTGAGGTCCGTGCAGCTGGAGATCTGGTGGGGAGCTGATGTTCCAGTTTGAGGGCCCTGCAGCTGGAGACCCGTGGGGATCTGATGTTCCAGTTTGAGGGTGGTGCTGCTGGCGACCCAGGCGGGAGCTGATGTTCTAGTTTTAGGGCCCTACAGCTGGAGACCCGGGGAGGAGCTGACATTCCCTTTCGAGGGCTGTGCAGGTGGAGACCTGGGGAGGAACTGATGTTGTTCTAATTTGAGTGTGGTGCAGCTGGAGATCCAGGGATGAGATGGCCCTGCGGTTCAAATATGAGGGTCCCGGAGCTGGACTCTACGTGAGGAACCAATGCTGCCTCTGATGTCTTAGGTTGTGGAGCTGGAAACTCGCGGAGGAGCTGGTATTGGTGTTTCTAGTTGAGGGTCGTGGTATTTCCAGGGTTTCACAGAGGCCAGATTTTATTTCAGTTACTCAGAAGAGAAAGAAAATGTCTTCTGAAAGAGGTGAACTCAGTCATTACCAATAGAAAAAGTATCCACTGTATTTATCTCTTATACAAACAGAAAAATATAACATTTTCCCCCTTAGAATATATATATATATATATATATATATATATATATATATATATATATATATATAAAACTTAAGGTTCTATTGTATGTATCCGAACAATAAAATCTGGAAACCAGCATGAAACTCTATTATTCACATGTTAAAATGTTGAAACTATGACCAAAATATGAAAACTGCTGGAGCTATCAGAAAGACACAAGACAAAAAGCTTCTTGCATATGTATAAACTAAATGTGATAATCTCAAAAAACTGTTCAAAATTATAATTACTTTCCAGTTTAAAAACTTTAATCCTAAATTAAAAAAAAAAATCTATACACAAACCACTGATTTGCCCAGACCAAAGAAAGAAAGAAAGAAAGAAAAGAAAGAAAGAAAGAAAGAAAGAAAGAAAGAAAGAAAGAAAGAAAGAAAGAAAGAAAGAAAGAAAGAAAAAGAAATCAGCGGTAAGGTAAGCAGGACCCAGAGGAGCTGATATTCACAGTTCTTACATGGACAACTCTTTCAGGAATTATCCATAAAGTACTTTATTTTACAACCTGCTTTTCTTATAAAACTAAAGGTGCACTTTTTTACATAAAAGTTTTATACAGTGTTAAAACCAGAACTGTGTGTAAAATACTGCATGTAAATGTTTCTAAATAGTCTTGTTCCAGTGGTTCATCGGTGACTTCTGTGGCTTCGTCATCATTATCCATGGATGATTCTGAAAGAATCTCTCCAGTTTTACTGGAATTGGATCCTACTAATTCTTCTGTTTCACGGCAGTCAGAAGAACCACTACTTTCAGGGCCTTCGTTTTCACTACCTTCAGAATGTAGTAAATCTTTCTCAGCTTGAGACACATCAGATTCCTCCATTTCATTATTTTCCTCAGAAGTCTCTTCATTCACAGTTGAGGCATCATCAGATTCTTTTTCTTGGTTTTTTCTTTCTGGGACCATTTCTCTTGATGTCATAAAAGACTCTAAAAATAAGCAAATGTTGTTGTACTTAAATTTTATATTCAAAATACCTCCACAGTTAAGTTTCGTGAATTCTGATGTTCTGTAGTTCAAATCACATCCCCTGAAATTCAGCAGCAACTGCATACAGGTGGGAGAAAAGCCCAGCGTCGACATTACAAGGAGTTCCATGATGTACAATTCTTTCACAAAAACAATGAATGCAAGAATTTGAGGATCTCCTTACTCCTCCCTTTTACAGATGGTCTCTCAATCCCTTCTTCTTCCTCTTCATCTTCATCTTCTTCTGAACGCGCTGCCGGGTACCATGGCTTTTTTTGTCTTTATCATGAGATGAAGGTGATGCTTCTGTTTCTTCTACCATAACTGAAGAAATTTCGCTGCAAGTCGCTTGACTGGCTATTTCTCCGACTTCGCCTTTTTTGTCAAACCTGAGTCTTTTTACCTCATGCCCCTCAGCTTCCACAGCATCTTCATCTGGATGTTTATTTCTCAAAGGGCTCACTGAGGAAACTTCTGATTCAGATGTCGAAGAGTCACTGAGTTTTCTCTTCATTTTGCTGCAAATTTGCCTCTTTGCTGTCTGTGCTCTCAGGCCACCCATTTGTTGTCATGGGGGCTGACAGAGAAACCTTTGGTCGATTACGTGGCCTGGGTGTCCCAGGCCCATTTATATTAGACCTCTCAGTATAGCTTGGTGCATTTCCAGGAAACATCACACCATTCATTCGATTTAAACTATTGGAATTGTTTTTCTCTGAAGAAGGATAAACACAGCTAACAACCATCACGTTCTTTTCTACTCCTCTGAGAAATTTGTCTGTTCCTGTATAGTTTCTCCTCGGATCTGTTAACAATTCACATAATCGCTGAATAGTAAAAGGGATACGGTTAAATCCAGTGACAGTTTTTCAGTATTCTTCCCTTTGTTTCATCACAGGGAATATATTCGACATTAGGGTTGGGAGGACCTCTTGGCGCAGGAGCTGAAGTTCTGAAATCATCCATCACTTTCTCCAGTTTGAAAATAAAATAGCCTTTAAATTGGGACCACGGAATCTGTTTCTCCAGTCTTGGCTACATGACAAAAGGAACTGATCCAGGACAGGACAGACTTTCTTTTTTGCCTCTTCTCAAAATCTTCCAGCGCCTCCTGGAGCCTGTCGACGTCCATGGCTTCCCGGAGTCCCTCACAGCCTCCGCCTCCCTCCGCGGGTCTCTTGGGGACCGGAACGCCTCCCCCCACCCCCCGACGTCCTCCCACTCCCTCGCACACCCTCCAGCACGCAGGCCAAGTGGGGTGGGGGGGAACGAAGGGAGCCGGGGAAGCGTGTGAGAGAGTGAGACCGACAGAGTGAGCACCTCCCCAAGCCGCTACCACCAGCCCTCCAACATGGCGCCTGGCACATCACCCTAAAAAGTCATTTCTTGGAGAAGCGATGGATGACAGAGATTAATCTGAGAGTTACTATTAATGGAGAAACTTAGAACTTACCATTTTTCCTGTGAGGTTTCGGTGCTGATACTTCTATTCTGTGAGTTCTGGCAATTGTGTCCGTTCACCCAGCCTGGTGATGCAGCAGGTGTCACAGAAGGACCCTGTCCCAGCTGGTCCTGCTCCACTGCTAGGATGGTGTGGCCTCTGATCTGTGACCGTGTCTTGAGGGGAGACCAGGCCCTTGATCACAAGCGTATCCATGGTGAGGTTCCGTGGATGGAAGCTCATGGATGTTCCTTCCTGATGTTCATCTGCCACCATGCTATTGAATGCATCTTGTTTATAACTGTCTTCTAAATATTGAATAGAAATAAAGCGTTTTTACAGTATGGGTAAGGTATAAAGAATATTGACACATTGGACACAGAGGACCTCCACCAAGTTTAGGGAGTAGAATCTGAAGAGACATAGCTTTGGATGCTCCCTGGAGGCCCTGCCTGAGTCCCAGTCCCTTCCCTTCTCCTACGGAGGGAATCACTTCCTGCTTTAGTCTTTATTATTTGCACACTTTCCTTCATAGTATGTTTCTTTCACCGTGTGTGTACATCCCTAAAAGATATGCCATTTAGTTTTTGAACTTTCTGTTTTCTTTTTGAGGCAGGGTCTTGCTCTGTTGCCTCGGCTGTAGTTTTGAACTTTGACGTGAGGGAATTCTCCTGCGTGGCTGCTCCTGCACTGCATGGCTCTGAGCACCTGCTCTGTGTCTATTTTTGTCCTCCATTCTCTCCCTGAGACCCACCCACACTGACATGGCTCATTTTCATTGCTGCATGGTCTCCCGTCGTCTGAGGGGAGCATGGGAAATGTCTTCATCTTCCCGTGGATGAGTGTTTGGCCAGGTTGGGGCCCTTAGGACTGTGTTTTGTTGGGAACGTTCTTGGGCATTTCTTTTGTACACAAGCGCAAGTTTCTTCTGGTCAGTAGCTTTCAAATTTTAAAATTTCATCCCAGGTAAAAATGTAATTTTCCTCATAACCCACAACACACACACTTTCATATACAAGCATAGCAGAAATATACTTCACAAGCGTTAGCAGTGCCTGGTGTTCCTGCTTCTCTCCATTCTCCCCAACGCTGGCATGGATTGGGTTGTGGGATTTTTGCCCGTCTGGTGGTTGTCACGTGATATCTCCCCCTGTTAGGCTGAGCCCCTCTTCATGTTTTCATTAGCCATTCCTCCACATTTCCTCTTCTGTGGAGGGCCGGTTCAGCTCTTTTGCCCAGTTTCTGTTAAGTTGTTTGAATTTTTGCACTTTTCCTTTATTATTCCTATTACTATGTTTTTGAGACAATATCACTCTGCCACCCAGGCTGGAGTGCAGTGGCGCGATCTCAGCTCACTGCAACCTCCATCTTCTGGGTTCAAATGATTCTCCTGCCTCAGCCTCCCAAGTGGCTGGGATTACAGGCACGCACCACCACGCCCAACTAATTTTTATATGTTTACTACAGATGGGGTTTCACCATGTTGTCCAGGCTGGTCTGAAACTCCTGACCTCAGGTGATTCTCCCACCTCAGCCTCCCAAAGTGCTGGGATTATGTGGGTGGCAAGCCACCCAGGCACCGAGGCAAGAGACAGAGGACACGAGCTGTTCCAGTATAATAAAATATAAAACAAGAATAGTTATACCAGATATAGATCTTAGATATGATTATATATGAATATCATTAATCATTAGTTTGTAGCAATTACTTTTTATTCCAATATTATGATAATCCTTGCTCTATAATCGTAGCCTAGGAAAAACCAGGCCATACAGAGATAGGAGCTGAGGGGACATAGTGAGGTGTGACCAGAAGACAAGAGTGCGAGCCTTCTGTTATGCCCGGACCGGGCCACCAGAGGGCTCCTTGGTCTAGCGGTGATGCCAGCGTCTGGGAAGATGCCTGTTACCAGGCGGATAGCAAAAGGTGTCAAGGAACAACACCCGATACTTAGCAGACCGGGAAAGGGCGGGGAGGGGGGGGGGTCTCCCTTTCCCCGGGGGAGTTTAGAGAAGACTCTGCTCCTCCACCTCTTGTGGAGGGCCTGACATCAGTCAGGCTCGCCTGCAGTTATCCGGAGGCCTAACCGTCTCCCTGTGATGCTGTGCTTCAGTGGTCACGCTCCTAGTCCGCCTTCATGTTTCATCCTGTACACCTGGCTCTGCCTTCTAGATAGCAGTAGTAAATTAGTAAAAATACTAATAGTCCCTGATATGCGGAAATAATGGCATAAGCTGTCTTTCTCTCTGTCTCCTCTCCCTCTCTGCCTCGGCTGCCAGGCAGGGAAGGGCCCCCTGTCCAGTGGACACGTGACCCACGTGACCTTACCTATCATTGCAGGTGACTCACATTCTTTACCCTGCCCCTTCTGCCTTGTATCCAATAAATAACAGCGCAGCCAGACATTCGGGGCACTACCGTTCTCCGCGCATTGGTGGTAGTGGCCCCCCGGGCCCAGCTGCCCTTTCTCTTATCTCTTTGTCTTGTGTCTTTATTTCTACACTCTCTCGTCGCCGCACACAGGGAGAGACCCACCGACCCTGTGGGGCTGGTCCCTGCAGGGTTATAGGCATGAGCCACCATGCCCGGCCTGCTTTTTTCTTTTTCAAAAGGACTCTTTCTAGATTATACCTATTCATTCCGGTGACTATATGTGGGGCAAAGATGGGTTTGAATCCACCAGGATAAACGTGCCGGATCTCCTCTCTGATGGAAGAAGAGACAGGGATAGAAGGGTGCAGAGAATCAGAGCCAAGAGGAGGCCGAGTCAGGCGGGGGTTGCAGGCTGCTGTGAGGACTTGGCTGCTTCTCTGAGTCTGGTGGGATTAGCAGGGGATTTAAACAGAGGAACCGTGGGATCTCCCTTATGCATTTCTGCCATGGTTGGCTCAGCTGAACACACCTCTTGAGCAAGACTTGGTCTTGGACACCCAGAGGCCCTTGGTTGAGGGTTTACCTCCTGGCGTGGCCACTGACACATCCACGTTTGTCTCCCACACGGCTGGGCGGCCCCGAGACCTGCTGTGCGTGCCCTTCTCATTGGTGGCATTTCTCAAGTTTGTCCCCTCTCAAGTCTGCCCCATCCGGAAAACCAAACACCTCTCTCTCCTACATGGAAACCCCCGTCAGCACCTCCTCCTGACTCACAGGGCATCCCGTCAACATCACAGTCCCAACCTTCCCACATGGAGAAGCTCATGGGACCCCCGATGGACCAGGACAGTGCCAGCACTAAGACGTGCCCTGAAACTCACAGGAAGAGCGGACCAAGAAGCCGGGAACAGCACGGGGCACTGGGAGCTGCAAACGCCCACGATACTGTGAGAGACGGAGAAAGGTATGACAGGAGGAGCAGACCAAGAAGACGGGAACAGCACGGCGCACTGGGAGCTGCAAATGCCCACGATACCGTGAGAGATGGAGAAAGGTATGGCCATGGCGGTCACAAAATGTTCCTCAACATTTATTAAAGGCCTAAATGGAGAACATAACGCTATCAAACCCTTAGCTAAAAACACAGGGGAAAATTCGTATGGCCTGGGGTTAGGCGAAAAGTTCTTAGACATGACACCAAAAGCATGATTCATAAGATTGACAAATTAAATTTAGTCATAAATTTAAAATTATAATTCTATAAAGCAATATAAAAATCCAAAGAGAATGAAACATGAACTATGGTCTAGAAATAAACATTTGTGAATCACACGTCTCACAACCTACTGGCACGCAGGATATATGAAGAACCATCAAAACTTAACCATAAGAAAGTAAAAACCCCAGTATTAAAGAGAGGGCCAATATTGGAACGGAGGCCTCATCAAAGAAGGTATAAGGAGGGCATATTGCCCGAGAAAGAGGCTCAACATCATAGAGATGCTGGAGAAATGCCAGTCAGCAGTACCTCTGCAAATCCATTAAAATGGCTAAAAACAGACAAAACCCATGGGCCAACCCAGGTTCTAGTGATGATGCAGAGGAACTGGGACCCTCATAAGCTGCAGTGGGAATGGGAGGGGTCCCGCCATGCTGGAAAGTGGTCCTGGAGTTTCTTACGAAGTTAAGCACATCCTTACCATGTCATCCAGCAACCCCACTGCTGAAATGTCCCCCAAGGGAAAACTTAAACGTGCACACACAAACCTGCACACAAGTGTTTAGGCCTCATTCCTCATTGCCAATAACTGGAAGAAAACAAAATGTCCGTCGGCAGGAGCAGGAGAAGGCGTGAACTAACGCGGATGCTTCCACACAGGGGGCACCAACCAGCAGTGGAAAGATGCACCCAAATGCCCCAGGTCTCCCAGGCTACATGCCCGTTGAAGGAAGCTAGTTTCGGTGGGCACAGGCCAAAGGATGCCAACACATGACATCTTGGAGAAGACAGTGTACCGTGTCGGGGAGCAGGGCAGTGGTTTCGAGGGGCTACGGGTGGAGGGGCGAATGGAGGAGCTCTCTGGGGCGATGGCGTGAGCACCTGCACCTCACTGTGGGCTGCTGCGGCTGAGGGGCTGGTACGGCAAACACTGGCTTCAGTACATGCAGACTGAAGGAGGAAGGCTCCCACAACTCAGAGACAGAGGGTGTCGCCTCCATGAAACAAAAACATATTTTAAAAAAAAACCTCTTAAAATTAAGAAAAAAACCACAAAAAGTATTTCATAAGCGCATTGACTTTGAGTTGACACAATCTACCTGGGAGCATGGAACTGAAACCACAGGCTTGGCAATCCCGGAGGGAGAGGGTGGAGGGTTTAGACCTCAATTGAAGGGCTCAGTACCTGGCTATAGGAAATAACATTTAAAAAGCAGCAGGGTGGAAATAATTTCTGCTGATGAGGTTGCATCTCTCCAGATAGCCGGCAGAGTAAATTAAAGCAATATAGTCTTGCTCTGTTGCCCAGGCTGGAGTGAAGTGGCGCCATCTCCGCTCACTGTAAGCTCCGCGGGAGAATCTCTTGAACCCTGGAGGCAGAGGTTGCGGTGAGCCGAGATCCCGCCATTCCACTCCAGCCTGGGCAACAAGAGCGAAACTCCGTCTCAAACCAAACAAAATTAGGTAACTAACCCAGGACTAAAACAGCGTAACTTTAAAAAAATAAGTCTAGGAGGTATGATGTTCATTCCCTGCAAGCCAATAAAGGTCACGTCTGGGGCATACATCTAAAAAAATAATCCTAAAGAGAAAGTTATGGTCACAAATATGTTCTGTATGGTGTTATTAAGAGCAAAAATGGGAAACAACCCAAATATCAGTAAAATGGGACTGAACCCTTGCAAATTTACTAAAATAAAATTGTTAAACATGATGCACAAGACGAAGATTTTAATAAAGTGAAAAGACAGGAAACATACTTACTAATGATTATTGGTTTATTTTTCATGCCACTTCATTCCACAAAAAGATTTCAGATATCTTAGAAAAAGACACACTAGAAATATTAAAATACTATCTGAACCAGAAGCAGAATCAGGGTAAGCTAGCAGAAAGGCGTATGAGCCAAAGGGATCTACCCAGCTTTCAAAGCTGACCACGGCCGTGCGCAGTGGCTCTGTCTGTAATCTCCGCACTTGGGGAGGCCGAGGAGGTAGGATCGCTTGAGGCCACAAGTTCGAGACCAGCCTGGGCAACAGAGCAAGATCCCGCCTCTACCAAAAATTTAAAAATCAGCCGGAAGCCAGACACTAGGGACATGGCTGAGGATCGCTCCCGCCCCTCGGAGGCCAGAAACCGAGGGTCACTCCCGCTCTCTAGAGGCCGGAGGCCCCGGGCCGCTCCCGCCCACCTCCGCGGACGAGCGCCGCCCCTTCGACCCCATTCCCTGAGGTCTGGACGTTCAGGCCCTCTCGGTCTGGGAGATCCCGGAGAACCACCCACGGGGCTTTAAAAAATGTTGGTGCCCAACATCTCCCCGAAATAGGGCCCGCCCTATCTCGGTCGGGGAGCGCGGGACCTCCGTGGCCACCCAGCGCCACCGTCCGCGGGTCCGCTTTGCGCAGGCGCGGCGTCCCCGCCCATTAGACCCCTGCCCGGGCGTGTCGTGGTGCGCAGGCGCGATGTCCCCCACTAGCGCCCCGCCTTGACCCGGCCGTGGTGCGCAGGCGCAGTCTGCGCAGGGACTGGCGGGACTGCGCGGCGGCGACTACAGACGTGTCGGGGGTCCGGGGCCTGTCGCGGTTGCCAAGCGCTCGGCGCTTGGCGCTGGCGCTGGCCAAGGCGGTGAGTCCCTGCCGCGGACCGGGGCAGGGCAGGCGGGGGGCGAGGCGGCGGTAGGAGCGGGACGGTCCCCAGCGGGTCCGAGCGGAGCGGGCGCCGGGTGCCCGCGCCCCCTGCCCGGGGATCGGGAAGGGGCTGGGAGAGCCCTGGGCCGGTGCGAGGGGGAGCCGCGGAGTGTACTCGGGGGCCTGGGGAGCTCGGTCCTTAGCAGGTAGGCCGCGTCCCGGTGAAGGTCGCGACCCCGCGGGCTTGCTGGGCGTCCCCTCCGCCGCTTTGGTCCGGGCCTGGGGTCCGGCGACCTCGCGGGCTGAGGTAGCCCCTCGCCTCTGCCTGGCGGGTGGACTCGGGGAGGAGTCGTGTCTGCCCAAGGTCACCGGGGTGGAGTCCTGGCTGGGCCGGGCCTCTGCCGCCCTCTGTGAGGGTTGTCCTGCGGGGCCGCCCGCAGCCCGTGGGTGGGGCCGGCGGGGCGGGTGAAACCGCCTGGGTGGGTGCGAGGAGTGGCCGGGCTCGGCCGGGTGGGTGTCCGGTGGGAAGCGCGGCGCGCCCGAGCTTGGGCTTGCAGTTCCCCTTTCCAGAGAGCGCAAATCTGTGCATGTCCACTTCGGGATCTTGGAAGTTAAGGACCTGTACTTTGGGTCCCGTTTGGTGGCCCTTGTGCCACAAAAATGTGCCGGTGTTTAAAAGCAGCTGTGCCAGTTTTTAAAAATCAGACGGAGAGCTCAGGGCACTGACCGAGCGAGGACTCCAGGACCTGTGCTTGCCTGTGCGCTGAGTACCTCGAGGGCCGGGCTCGGCTTAGTCCAGGATGATGGTCAGGGTTATACTTCCCTGAGCCCTTGCTCTCTGAGTGTCTGAATGTGCCCTCTACGATTGCATCTTCAGAATCGGCCTTCTAGGATTTCATTTAATCAAGCGAAATTGGATAGGTTTAGTTGTTTGGTTCTTTTAAATGAACTTAGCCACCCACCTCTTAATTACAAAGTAATTTTAAATTGCAGAGTAAAAATCTCAATAGAGGAACCAAGGCATTCAGCAATATTGATTTGAATTATGCCTGTGATTGTGCAATTTTCTCCTTTTTGAAATAGTTATTGAAAATCTCTTTGAATTAAATGTGAGGATTAGTCATACAGCCATCCTGTCAACATCGGAAAGCGTGTAAACCGTTCTAGCGTGTTGCTGTGGTTGGTGCTGACTGAGCAGAGACCCCCGCCGCATCTTGGGCTCTTAGGAGCTGCTGGGAGGGCGTCCACAAGCAGGAGGTGAAGCCCATGGTCAGTGGGACTTTTTAGGGGCAATGGTAGCTTGTGGTTGGAGAGAAGCTAGATAGAGCCAGTGCCTTTGTCCCCAACCCAGATGGTGCCCAGTGTTCCTTCTGCAGACTAAGGCCCCAGGCACCTCAGACCAGATGGCAAGATAGCAAAATGGAACCAAAATTTAGTCTTGGGTTTTGTAAAAGTCTTTTTATCTTGATGAAGGTAGCTTTTCCTACAGAAAGTCGTGCGTTTTTGGGTTCTTCGTTGGCTGCTTTTGTGATTGTGTAGGCTGTACATGCAGATTCGTTTCTTGCTCATGATTTATAGGTGCATTTTATTCGATGAGGACCCCTTACTTTGCTAGATTTCGGATATGAATGTCTCTGCACTTGTTACTTTTCCCCCTCCACCTCCTGATTCAGTCATCTGAAATTCTGTATTGTTAAGCAAGGTCTAAGTATTCCTTTTAGTTATATGTTCCCCATGTTTTTTCTTAGAGGAAATGTTTGATAGTTTCTCCTAAAAAATTAATAATTGGCACAAAAGACTAGTTTTGTGTCAAAAGTAGTTTTGAGTTTTATCTAAAGACTGACATTGGCTTGAAGTTGGGCTTTCCAGATTCAAAAATCTGCCCCAGATGAGATTTAGATGCAGAGGGTTAGTGTCCTTTTCCCCAGGGGGATGGCGTGATGATTTGTTCAAGATTGTGTTATAGTAGCTGCCCCTTTTAAGGCAGCTGTGTGTGTGTGTGGTGGGGAGTGGGCAGTGTGTATTCCACATCAACATCCTAGAAAGAACGAATAAACATTTAGTGATCTCACTGTTTCTACTTACATTTGGTATAATGTACTGTTTTTATTGGTGCTATTACCTATGTTAATAGGGCACTTTACAAAATTTTCAAGAACGTTTTTATTAAAATTATTTCAAAGACTTCTTTCTTAAAATATGATTTTACCATGTAAAAAATTATACTAAGGTAGAAGAATATTCGTTCTTTCTCATTTTCTGAAAAAAGAAAAAACTAAATTAGCTTATGTCAATAAAAACAGACTAGAAATTGGAGAAATGAAGAATAATTTTTTATCCCACATAATAAGTAATTTGTGAATTGCAAGTATTTCTAAATACTTGAAGACATCCCTCACATCCCCTCTTCTGATTGCTGAGTGCATAATTTCCTAAAGCTTTTTTTTTTCTTTTGTTTTTTTGGAGACATTGTCTCGCTCTGTCGCCCAGGCCGGAGTACAGTGGCACAGTCTCGGCTCACTGCAACCTCTGCCTCCTGGGTTCAAGCGATTCTCCTGCCTCAGCTTCCCAAGTAGCTGGGATTACAGGTGCCCGCCACCACGACCAGCTAATTTTTAGTAGAGAGGGGGTTTTGCCATGTTGGCCAGACTGGTCTCGAACTCCTGACTTCAGGTGATCTGCCCACCTTGGCCTCCCAAAATGCTGGGATTACAGGCATGAGCCACCACGCCCAGCCCCTAAAACTATTCTTGATGATATTTCTGAGACTATTCAGTGGTCTTCTAAAATGCCGCCAGCAGAATGGAAAACGTATCCCCTAAATGGCTGGCCAACCTTAGCATATGGGACAGTGTGACCTCTCTCACACAGAGCCACTAAAAACTAAACACTAAAACCAGTTTTCTTGAGTAAAGGTTTCTAAGATGGAAAATTTAAGCAGTGAGATATGTCAAGTTGTAGACGTTGGCCAGGAAAAAGCCAGCATCAACCAGGCAGGGGAGAGTGTGCATCCGACATCCTCCTGTGTGATGAAGGGATGACACCTCTTCCCTCTGGGCTGTCAGCCTTTACTGTTCCAGGATACAGATCTCCTGATTCAGGTGTCCAGTGCCTTTTGAACTGACCGCAAGCCCTCCTGGACGATTGGAACTGTAATGTGGAAAGGGCTCTGATGGAGCCGGTTAAAATGCTTCATTATTTGCAAAATACCACATACAGTAATACGATCTGGATGTCTTTCCCCTCCTCCACTAAGTAGCATAAGTGAAGACTTCCCAGAGGAAGTGCGTCTTTTTCATCTCGTATCTGAGTCAGTGAGTATCCTTTTTGGAAACAAGCTTCATCCTGGTTTTCTAGAGTGCCAAGTCAGGGTGGAAAGGAGGACCTGGGGGCTCAGTCCTTCCTTGCCCCTTGGGCTGCCCTTCAGGGTTAAATAGAGGGTCCCAGCTGAGCTCTCTGGATGCACAGGAGCACCTGGGTACATAAGAAGGTGAACAGTTTTCAAGGGGAAGTTTGAATTACTATCCCCCACAGCATTTGTTCCTTCAGGACACTAACCCTCTGGATCTGTGTCTTCTGTGTCTCCAGTGGCCAACAGTGTTGCAAACAGGAACCCGAGGTGTTCACTTCACTGTTGAAGGAACGAGAGGGCATCTGCTAAAGTTTCAGATTCCGTAAGTTCATGCTTTTTGTTCCATTATAAATGATTTTTTTGGCTTGGGGGTAAGGATCTATACCAGTTTGTTTTCATATGAGTCATAGACATAAGGGAAAAATTTCTCATAGGTATCCAATGCATGCTGAAATTATTTTCAGTGTAATAATACTTAATTGCAAGTACCAATATAAACATAGATGTTAACATTTTTACTTGTATCTGTTATGTATCTATAAATTAGATTTAAATTTAGGTCAAGTAAAGCAATAAATTAAAATGAACAGTATCTGCTGTGATAGATGATAAAATCCTACTGAAAAGAGGACCGTGGGGCCCTTCCGGTGTGGGTTCCTTGGTATTGAGTGTGCCTGTTCTCTCTCTGTTGGAAAACTGAAACGTGCTGAGAAGTTCTTTTCTCATAAGCTCACAATAGCGACTGAATGCTCCTTGGTACCTTCTCAGGCATAAGCATAGGCACGGCCCTGAAGTAGAGTTGTGGTCCTCAGTCTGATCCCATGGAATAGACCCTCTACCATTCATAGAATCTGATTATCAGTCCCTTCTCCAGGTGCGAATGTGCCTACTTCTCCCTGCACTGTTCAGGGCTCAGCCCCAGGACAGGATGGAGGCCCTGTGTGCCCAGCAGTTGCTCCTTTTATCTTTGTCAAGCTCTTTCACTGGCACAAGAGTCTTCATGTTTGGCATAGTGGAACCTGTGCTTGACAGGTGAATTTTTCTTTTCCAGATTTCTGCTCAGTATCCAGTAGTGGATCATGAATTTGATGCAGTGGTGGTAGGCGCTGGAGGGGCAGGCTTTGCGAGCTGCATTTGGCCTTTCCGAGGCAGAGTTTGATACAGCATGTGTTACCAAGCTGTTTCCTACCAGGTCACACACTGTTGCAGCGCAGGTAAGAGAAAGGTGCCCCACTGTGCTCCCACTCCGTGCAGGTCCCGCGCAGCCTCGCACTTTCTACCTGGGCAGCCTCCTGCCTCCTCCCTGTGCTCCAGCCACTTGGCCTCTTGCTGTGCCTTACTCAGCTCACCCATTCAGGGGTCTCTCCCTGGAGCCTCTTCCCTGGGGACTTTGAAGGGCGGGAGCCTTGTTGTCACTCTTAATTCAGACTCCAGTCACACTTGGGTTTTCTCTGACCATCTACCCTCCCCACCCACCCCTGCCACCCCAACACCTTAAGAAAAGGAGATCATCTAAAGAGGAGGATTCAGAATTTAGGTTGGGGAAGAAAAGGGCAAGGGTTTCATTTGTCCCTGGTGCTGCTGTCTTCTGGGACTCTCTGAGGGGTAAGACGGTGGTGGGCACACACAGCCAAAGGAAGTAGGGGTACAGGGGAGTGCGACTCTGAGTATGGAGTTTATTACTTGGCAGGAAGCACTTCTAATCTTTAACACATGCCCGTAAATGCCGTTGGGAAGATTTGTTAATAAAATTATGCGGAGAGATTCATGGAGTACCTTTTCTGTGCCAGATACGTTAGGTAATAAGCATATTACAGGTAGCCTTTCACTCACTGCTCCAGTCAGCCCTTCCTGGAGTTCCCTCTGTCTCCACCACACAGATGAGGAGACTGAGGCTAAGGGATGGAATCACTGGGTGAGTCTGGGAGGGGTTGTGATCTGGAATCTGTCAGGCCTGGCTGCTCCTCTGCTGAGGTCAGCCCTCACTGGGAGTCACCATGTGAGTAGCTGGCTTTCTCTGAATCCCCCAGCGGGTGGATTTGGGCCTGGAAGACAAAGCTGGGGCTCCTGTTTGTGGCTTGTAAGGAGTGGTTGGTGTTTCCAGGTTGGAATCAATGCTGCTCTGGGGAACATGGAGGAGGACAACTGGAGGTGGCATTTCTATGACACCGTGAAGGGCTCCGACTGGCTGGGGGACCAGGATGCCATCCACTACGTGACGGAGCAGGCCCCCACTGCCATGGTCGAGGTGATGGGCGGGAGGCTCTGGGTGCTCTGGTGGTCTGTTTCCAGTACAAGAGTCCTGGAAAAAATGTAAGCAGTTGAGGCAGATGTGGCAGCCGAAAGAATGGTGATTAGCAAAGCTCACAAGAGAAGTCTTTGTCCATCATGAACTATGTATTACATGTAATAAGAAAAACTTCTCTTTGATGAAGTGTTGACATTTTCATAAAATAGGTTAATTTGGGTTTGCAGATTTGTATTAAAGTTGTTTAGTGTAGATTAGCTGTGAATATCTTGACTCCTTTAGGGTAATAAGGCTTTTGTTTGTTTTTATCTTTCACAGGTAGAAAATTATGGCATGCCGTTTAGCAGAACTGAAGATGGGAAGATTTATCAGCGTGCATTTGGCGGACACAGCCTCAAGTTTGGAAAGGGCAGGCAGGCCCATCGGTGCTGCTGTGTGGCTGATCGGACCGGCCACTCAATATTGCACACCTTATATGGGAGGGTAAGGCTGCCCCCCGTCCACCTGAGACAGGACACATAGTGCTGGGGCTTGTGGTGACAGCGGGGAATGGGTTAGCGTGCCCAGTGAGTCAGCCAGAGATTGCGTAAAAAGCAACAGAGAACAGCCGTGTGGGGCACATGCAGCGACTGTGGATGTGACAGGAGCAGGCGTGTGCCTTGAGAAGCTGCCCCTAAGGCAATGTGTGAGTTGTTGCCTCTATGTTGGGAAGTTGAATTGATAATCTTATATACCAGGTTTTCACTTGGGATATGTGACACTCAGCATGTAAGAACAGAGCAAGCAGGCCAGGCACAGTGGCCCACGTCTGTAATCCCAGCACTTTAGGAGGCCAAGGCAGGAGGATCACTTGAGACCAGAAGTTTGAGACCAGTCTGGAGAACATAGTGAGACCCTGTCTCTACAGAAAGTTTAAAAAGTAGCTGAGCATGGTGGTACATGCTTGTAATCCCAGTTACTCAGGAGGCTGAGGCAGGAGGATCACTTGAGACAGTGAGCCATGTTCATACCACTGCACTCCAGCCTGAGCAACAGGAGACCTGTCTCAAAAAAAGACAAAGAACAAGTATTTTAAGGCTCTTTTACCACCTCTGAGTTCCTGAATGGATTGGTTTGGTTTGTTTGTTTTGTTTTGCTTTGTTTTTGAGACGGAGTCTCACTCTCACCCAGGCTGGAGTGCAGTGGCGCGATCTCTGCTCACTGCAACCTCTGCCTCCCGGGTTCAAGCGATTCTCCTGCCTCAGCCTCCAGAGTAGCTGGGACTACAGGTGCACGCCGCCACGCCTTGCTGATGTTTTGTATTTTAGTAGAGACAGGGTTTCCCATGTTGCCCAGGCTGCTCCCGAACTCCTGAGCTCAGGCAGTCCACCTGCCTCGGCCTCCCAAAGTGCTGGGATTACAGGTGTGAGCCACCACACCCGGCCATGGATTGTTTTCATATTAACTGTTATCACTGGACAAAGACTTGAGGTGACAATAGTTACTGGGTAATCAGGGTCAACTTTGGCATGACCAAACAATATCCTGAACAGTATTGATTCAGAGTAATCCATGTTCTGAGCTTTGTTGTTTTCTGATGCATGGGGACGGATCAGTAATGTGCAGGTTGTTAGAACACCAGTGACTTCTCTGTGGCTGAGTGCATCGACAAGTGTGTGGTGGGAGGAGACGGCGGCTCCTTCCGGAGCAGGAGCTGTCATGTGGGGAGCTGGCCCAGGCTCACGAGAGCGACTTGCGCTGGCTGAGGGAACGGCAGGTCCAGGCGGGCAGCGCTGTCCGGCGCCTACCTTTCTGCGGTGCCGGAATCTGCTCGTCTGCAACCGTCCGCTTTGGTAGCTGCCAGCCACATGGGGCTGTTGCTAATGTGGCAGGTGTAGCTGAAGAGCTGAACGTTTTGACTTATTTTAATTAATTAAGTGGTTATGTGTTGCCAGTAGCTCCCATCTGGGCTGTGACCCCATGGTCTGCGGATCTCACTCTGGCACCAGACTCCGAGTGGAGCTGCATGCGGCCACCGGACAGTGTGGAGTGCCTCTTCGGGTTGTGTAGAAGTAGGAAATGTGTCACCAACATAGGAGCTGTTGCTGCTGCGTTCTCTAGCACACCTGCCTTGTTGGTACTGCTGGGCGTGGAATGCCTCTCGGGCTCTGACAGTGTCATTGACACTGTTGCTGATCTCCTTGGATTTACCTGGTCCATTTGGATCAAGTTCTTTCACCTATTCACATGAGCAGATATCACCTTAAAACCTTAAAGGTTGGCTTAACACTTCTTGCCCTTTTTTTTTCTTTCTTTTAGTCTCTGCGATATGATACCAGCTGTTTTGTGGAGTATTTTGCCTTGGATCTCCTGATGGAGAATGGGGAGTGCCGTGGTGTCTTCGCACTGTGCATACAGGACGGGTCCATCCATCGCATAAGAGCAAAGAATACTATTGTTGCCACAGGGTAGGAATCTAATTTCTACTTTATTTCCTTTGTAAAAATGAATAAATTTCATTTAGAGTCTCTTTATTTTAAGGAAAATAGAGGCATTGTAGAATAGCAGTTCAGACACAGGCCTTGATATAACCACGTGAGGGTGATGGCCTTTCCCAGCCATGGTTCCTCACCTGTAAAGGGTGAGGACAGCAGCACCTGCCTCGGGGTGAGAAAGCATGGCCCTCATTAGTCGGTAGTGGCTGCCGTCAGGTTCACAGCGTACCTCTCCCGATTTTAGATGAGGAAACTGTGGCCCGAAGAGTCACATGGGGTTTTCTGGCAAAATCCCTCTTGTTTTAGTGGGTTCTATGTTTATACTGATTCCTGGGATAGATAAGTCTGTCTTCTCCACATAATGAAAATAAAAAACTTTAATTTTATACAGTGGCAGTTACTTTAGCCACTTTAAAAGTTAAGAAGTGTCAGTACAGCCAAGAAAAAAAATCAGCAAAACTACAGGGTGGGAAAAAATATTTTCCAAACCATATATCTAATGATATCTTAGTATCTAAAATAGCAAAAAAAAATAAAAAATAAAAAAAAGCCCTACTAAAACCAACCTACTAAACCCTACTAAAAAACAACCCTACTAAAAATGGGCAAAGGACTTGAATAGATATTTTTCCAGAGAAGACATACAAATGGCCAGTTGATGTATGAAAAAATGCTCAACATCACCAAGCACCAGAGAAATGCAAATTAAAACCCCAATGAGTATCATCTCATCTCGCTCCAGTTAGAATGGCTGTTACCAAGAGGACAAAAGATAGTGAGTGTTGATGAGGATGTGGAGAAAAGGGAACCCTGTGTGCTGTTGGTGGGAATGTAAATTAGTACAACTATTGTGGAAAACTCTGGAGGTTCCTCAAAAGTCACAGGACTACCATGTGCTCCAGCAACCTCATTTCTGGGTGTATATCCAAAGGGCATGAAATCAGAAGCTCAAAGAGACACCTGGACCCCCATGTTCATTGCAGCGTTATTCACAATACCCGAGATATGGAAACAACCTAAAAATTTTTGGTGTTTAATGACAATGTGGTGTGTGTACACAACTGAATATTATTCAGCTATGAAAACGAAGGAAATCCTGTCATGTGTGACAACGTGGATGAACCCAAAGTCATTATGTTAAGTGAAACGACCCAGGCACAGAAAGACAGATACTGCATGTCACTCATATGTGGATCTAAAACTGTCACAACTCACAGAAACAGAATAGGACAGTGGTTGCCAGGGGCTGGGGGAATGCAGACTGTGGCGATGCTGATTAAAGGTGTAACTTCCCGTCACAAGGTGAAGTTCTGAAGGTCTGATAAACAGCATGGTGGCTAGAGTTAATGTTATAGAGCATGGTGGCCAGAGTTAACATTATACAGCATGGTGGCTACAGTTAAAATCATACAGTACGGTGGCTATCATTAATATAACTTGAAATTTGCGAAGAGAGTAGACCTTAGGTGTCTGTATCTCCAAAAAAAAGGATAATTGTATGAGGTGATAGATGTGTATTAAGTTGATTGTGTCATCAGTTCACAAAATAAATCATCACGCTGTACACCTTAAATATATACAGTATTGTTTTTTGTTTAATTCATCAATCATACCTCAGTAAATCTGGGGGAAAAAAACAAAATCCATAAAAATTTTAAAATTTTCATTATAAAAGTAGTATATGCTTACTGGGGAAACCTTTTGAACAGCACAAATCTAAAATACAAATAGGGCCAGACGCATAGTGGCTCATGCCTGTAATCCCAGCACTTTGGGAGGCCGAAGTGGGTGGATCACCTGAGGTCAGGAGTTCAAGACCAGCGTGGCCAACGTGGCGAAACCCAGTCTCTACTAAAAATACAAAAATCAATTGGATGTGGTGGTGCACACCTGTATTCCCAGGTACTTGGGAGGCTGAGGCAGAAGAATCACTTGAACTTGGGAGCCAGAGGTTGCCGTGAGCCGAGATTGTGCCACCGTACTCCAGCCTGGGCGACAAGAGTTAGACCCTATCTCAAAATAAATAAATAAATAAATAAAATATAAATGGAAGTCTCTTCTCTGATCCCAGGCTTCTATCCTACCTGCGCAGGGTAGCAGCACCACTGGCGTGGCCCCCAGTGATGTGTGTGGGGTGTGCGTGAGTAGGGGGTTGTGTGCACACAGCACTGAGAAGATGGTGCCCGGGGGCTGCCCTGTCCGTTCTGTGATCTCATTAGACAGGAGGTCCGGACGTGGGCCACTGTGTGCAGTCACTGCTCTCTGTTGTTTCCATAGGCTACGGGCGCACCTACTTGAGCTGCACGTCTGCCCACACCAGCACCAGCGACGGCACGGCCATGATCACCAGGGCAGGCCTTCCTTGCCAGGACCTCGAGTTTGTTCAGTTCCACCCCACAGGTAGGGCAGGACGCCTTGCCCGGAAGGCGTTCGGCTCGTGTGTCTTGTAAGCGTGTGGTGCCTACTCATTGCTCTTCCATAGTTTTATGTAATAACATGGTTTTGAAGATCAGCTTCCATAGCTCTCAGGTCCTAACTTCAATGTCATTTCCTTAAGGAGACTTTTCCCACACTCCCCTTCCCCTAAGGCAGTTTGGGCCACCATCTTATGCATTTCTCAAGAGCCCTAAACCCTGCCTTGGTGATACTTATGCCAGCAGTAAAGCAGGGATTGAGGCCGGGCATGGTGGCTCACACCTGTAATCCCAGCACTTTGGGAGGCCAAGGCAGGTGGATCACCTGAGGTCAGGAGTTCAAGACCAGCCTGCACAACATGGTGAAACCTCATCTCTACTAAACATAAAAAAATCAGCTGGGCATGGTGGCATGCACCTGTGATCCCAGCTACTTGGGAGGCTGAGGCGGGAGGAATGCTTGAACCTGGGAGGCAGAGGTTGCAGTGAGCCGAGATCGCACCACTGCGCTCCAGCCTGGGCAACAGAGTAAGACTTCGTCTCAAAAAAAAAAAAAAAAAAAGTAAAGCAGGAATTGTTCAGTGTCCCTCTTTGCAGTGAGGTTGTCAGCAACTCGGGCAGGCAGGTCTTCTCATTAACTGGGGTGCTCCACGCCCAGCACATGGTAGGGTCTCCATCGGGGTTTACTGAGTGAGCATTCTGAGAGCTGGGTGAATGCCGTGGAACCAAGAAGCAGCACAGGCAGATTTCAGCTTTGTAGGACAACACAGAGCTTCCGTGACAATGGGATGTAAAGTTAAGACACAGCCATGAGAGAACCCCATGTGACGTTGGGCGCTGGGCTCAGCCCACGTGACCACTGAGGGAGCTTGTCGTGGGGAAGATGAGCTCGTCTTGGGGACGTCTGACGGTTGAGGTTACGAATGTGCAATTTGGAGACATTAACTCAGAAATGACAGTTGAAGTCTTGAGTTTGGAGGAGGTTCTTCAAAATGAGTCAGAGACAGACACACACACGTCTGCCTCTTGTTTGAGGTGACTCGTCCTGGACTTTTCTGGGTTGCTTTTCTGACCTGTGGACGATGGAGACCCCTGAAGTGGTGCCAAAGAACCAGACCTGTGTCTTCTCTTTCTCTGTCAGTGTCAGCTTTCTGATCCCTGGAAGGGATGAAAATAAGAAATGGATTTGTTGTAGGTTTTTTTTTTAATTTGTTTAGAGATGGGGTCTTGCTCTGTTGCCCAGGCTGGAGTGCAGTGGAGCAATCTTGACTCACTGCAGCCTTTGTCTCCCAGGCTCAAACGATCCTTGCACCTCAGCCTCCCAAATAGCTGGGACTACAGGCATGTGTTACCATGCCCAGCTAATTTTTGAGGGTTTTTTTGTTTTTGGTAGAGACAGGGTGTCACCATTTTAAGCCCAGGCTGGTCTCAAACGCCAGGGCTTAGGCGATCCTCCTGCCTCGGCCCCTCAGGGTGCTGGCATTATAGCCATGAGCCACTGCACCCGGCCTGTTGTATTTTTTATTACTGTTTTTAATCAGCAAAATGTCAGTGAGCCCCTGAATTCCCTCTGTAATTTGCTTAGAGCTCCACTTCTCATGCTTTGTCTTCAATATGTGAGAAGTAACCACAGAAAAAAGAGCATGGAAACTTAGAAAATCAAAAGGCAGGTGAGATGCAAGAATCACATTCTTGTCTTGAAAGCAAGATTGCCCTTTTTGTATACTAATAAAAATTGTAGCTTTTGAAATACATTTAGTTTAGGGTTTTTGATCTCCTTTGTTAAAATTCGAGAGCTTGGCACGCCCTGTTTCTCATCGCACTGAGGAGTCACAGAGCCGCTGTTTGGGGCACAGACCGCCGGACTGCCCAGGTTTGGGTTTGAGCTCTGTCCTCAGCTGCATGACTGGATGTTACCAAGCGTTAATTTGCTTGTCACTGAGAAAGGGGGTCATACTACCCAGAGTTGTTGTAAGACTTAAATGAGTTTAATATGTGGAAAGCAGCTAGAACTGCCCATAGCAAGTGCAGTGTAAAGATGAACTAAAATAATCATTATTACTGTTCTTGCCACTGTTTGGGTAACTTAGATATGAATTCTCCAAGCTAGTATTCTTAACTAGTCACCACAGTATCATAGTGCAAAAGAATGTTCAAAAATTAAAACAAAATTTGAGGCATCCAACGTACACCGGGCTGTAATCAGAGTATTGGCCAGAGGTCTGTGGGCCGGCCTTTCTCCTCTCTGGGGACGCCACTCTGCCCCAGCCTCTGCTGCAGCTGTCAGCCTTGTCAGTGCTTTTTGTTATCCAGACTTTCTACTGTATCTTAACTGTTCTTTCTGTTCAGTTTTGCATATAATGCCTTCTGCATATCTTTTTTGTCTCTCCCCCAAAAAATATCTTGTAAAAAAAAGTAATGCATTTGAAATAGAGACCTAGCAATTGTTAGGTTATAAATGTGTGGTTTTTTGCAGGCACATATGGTGCTGGTTGTCTCATTACGGAAGGATGTCGTGGAGAGGGAGGCATTCTCATTAACAGTCAAGGCGAAAGGTTTATGGAGCGATACGCCCCCATCGCGAAGGACCTGGCGTCTAGAGATGTGGTGTCTCGGTGGATGACTCTGGAGATCCGCGAAGGAAGGTGCGTGTGGTTTACCACCAGCACTGTCTGAGCGGGCACACGGGCCGGGGTTGCTTCTGTGAGTTTCAGCACCGCTCGCCCTCACCTTCGTGTGCAGGCACATGTGCACAGCCACCTCTCTCAGCTGCCGGCAGGCGTCTGTTAGTCTGCGATATTTTCCTAAAGACCTACATTTTGAAAATTTTAGCCAGTTTCTTTCTCAAATCTGTGGAACAGAGTTTCTCTTAGTGTGTGTGAGTATGTGACGGAGTATGGGAGAGAGAGACACGCACCCAACCTGAAGTCGGCGTGTGAGCCTTGGGTGTGGTGTCTGATACCCACAGATGTTTTTCGGCAGCTTTCAAAGTGTGTGGGTCATTTGCCTTTCAGAAGAACAGTTTGCAGCTCTTTCATTGCCTGACCCTGTTCTTTAATGTGATAACACTTGCTAAATATCTGCTGGTATCTGGTGTGGCCTTTAGAGGTTTTACATTTTTATATTAAAAAAAAAAGAAGTCGGATGGTTTCTTGTAATATGGTGGCCCTCCGTATCCATCGGTTCCACATGTGTGGTTTCAACCAACTATGTACTGAAAATAAAATTGCATCCTTACAAACACGCAGACTTTTTTTTTTCCTTGTCATTGTTCGCTAAGCAACACAGTGTAGCAGCTATTTACCTAGCATTTACATTGTATTAGGTACTATGAGTAATCCTGGAGTTGCTGTACAACTTAAATGTAAAACTTGAAATGAGGATGATTTAAAATATGGAGGAGGATGTGCATAGGTTATATGCAAATACTCTGCCATTTTATATTAGGGACTTGAGCATCCACGGATTTTGGTGTCCGTGGGGGTCCTGGACCCAACCTGCCACGGATACGCAGGGACGACTATTTGGCATAGAGGCCTAATGCTTTTACCAAGGACAGCCGCTGCAGGCTGTGATCCCTGAGACGAGTGTGAGTTCAGTAAGGGCAGAGTTTTTGTTCTGGTTCTCAGCTGTGTCCCAGCACCTGGGATTGTCCCTGGCATACAGTAGATGCTTAGAAAAGATTTGATGAGAGGGTGGCCGTACATGAGGGGAAATTTTCCTCAGTATCAAAACATGTTGAAACTCACACGCTTCCAAGATGACGTATTCTCAGGTCTGCTGCCGTTGCCATTCTCTGCCTTATGTGATGGTGTTCTGTCTTACCAGAGGCTGTGGCCCTGAGAAAGATCACGTCTACCTGCAGCTGCACCACCTACCTCCAGAGCAGCTGGCCATGCCCTTGCCCGGCATTTCAGAGACAGCCATGATCTTCGCTGGTGTGGACGTCACGAAGGAGCCGATCCCTGTCCTCCCCACCGTGCATTATAACATGGACGGCATTCCCACCAGCTACGAGGGGCAGGTGATGGTGCTGGCTTCTCTCCCACAGCTGGAAAGAAGGCTGGGACAATGGGGCCCATCTCGCAGTTGTCTCTTTAGATCTTAGAGGAAGAGACAGATGTTTCCTTCCAGAAAGTACTGTATTGTTTGCTAAATTGCACTTGAAATTTCTATCACTGGAGGATGGAAGGAGGCTTAATAATTTATTCCTCCTTAGTAAACTGTCATAGATACATCATTTGCAGCTTTTCCCATTTTATAATTACTTTCCTATATGATCTTGTGTTATTTCTAATGAGCTTATACATCAAGGGATCTTTATAATTCCTATTTCTAATGATCTTGTACATCGAAGGATCTTTATAATTCATACCTGTGAGTGGTTTGCGGTTCACACAGAGCTTGTCAGTCACTTAGCCTCCTTGTTGGGCGAGGTGGGTGGAAGCTGTTACTTTCCCCGCATAGATGAAGAGGTGAACAGGGGGTAGAAGAGTCTGGAACATCAGTCTCCCCTGCTGATGTTCCTCCACCTGCCGTGCTCCTGGGTCTGAGCTGGAGCACAGGTGGTGAGGGCCTCGGGAACATGGGACACGGGGGACAGTCGCAGATGCTGACATTGGAGGCCCTCTGACCTGCTTGTAACAGCAGGTGCTCAGGGGCAGAGGGGAAACTGGGGTATACATTCGGAAGTTTCCTTCTGAAGAAGAGTAGCTATGGTCCTTACTTCCTTCTTAGATATGGTCTTTACTTCCCTCTCTTTGTTTCTTGGAGATGGAGACTCGCTCTGTCGCTTAGGCTGGAGTGCAATGGCGCGATCTCGGCTCACTGCAACCTCCGCCTCCCAGGTTCAAGCGATTCTTCTGCCTCAGCCTCCCGAGTAGCTGGGATTACAGGCACCTGCCATCATGCCTGGCTAATTTTTATATTTTTAGTTGAGACGGGGTTTCACCATGTTAGCCAGACAGGTCTCGAACCCCTGAACTCAGGTGATCCACCCGCCTCAGCCTCCCAAAGTGCTGGGATTACAAGCGTGAGCCACTGCATGCCCGACCTACTTCCCTCTCTTTCTCTGACCTGCAGCACAGACACCCTGTTGAGGGAGGTGGGCTTGTGGAGGAATGGGCATCTTGACATTTCACCTGAAATCTTCCTTTCCACAGGTCCTGAGGCACGGGAATGGCCAGGATCAGATTGTGCCCAGCCTGTACGCCTGTGGGGAGGCCGCCTGTGCCTCTGCACATGGTGTCAACCGCCTCGGGGCAAACTCGCTGTTGGACCTGGTTGTCTGGTCAGGCATGTGCCCTGAGCATCGCAGAGTCGTGCAGGCCTGGTAAGTGTTTTCTTCAGGACCCAGACTATTTGAGAAGGCGCAGGAGGTTAGTCTTTTTTCTTTTTTTTTGAGACAGGGTCAGCCCAGGCTGGAGTGCAGTGGCACAGTCATAGCAGCCTCAACCTCCCGAGCTCAAGCAGTCCTCAACACCTCAACCTTCAGAGTCCCAAGTAGCTGGGACTACAGATGTGCACCACCACACCTGGCTAATTTAAAAAAATTTTTTTTGGTAGAGACAGGGTCTCACAATATTGCCCAGGCTGGTCTTGAACTCCTAGACTCAAACAGTCTTCTGCCTCAGCTTTCCAAAGTATTGGGATTACAGGCATGAGCCACTGCACCCAGCCAGGTTACAAAGCCTTGATTTCTTACTGGAAATTTGCGTAGTGAGCATATAGAGGTAGTCTGGGTTTTTTCCCCTAGAAGTGATTAAACTGAGAAATCCAGAGATTATATGGTGGTAATGTTGAGACTAGATAGAGGCTGGTTGGGGATCTTAACAGTTAAGGTGACATTTTTGGGGTTACATTTTTTTTTTTTAAATTATTTTGCAGTCATTATTTTCTGTTTAGAAAAAGCACTATTAGGAAGCTGTTATTTTTAGGGGAAGTTCATTACGTATTACTTGCCTGATAAAAATCACTTATTTGCAATGAAATATTTAAAATAGTTGGCATGAATGAATATGTAACTTCTTGGTACTTAGAAAAATAATTTAGGCCATTCTAAAAGTACAACTAACCTCTATTAGAGGAGAAGGGCTGACTTAGAGTGAACAGGATTCCCACCCTCTACGGACAGATTCGATTTCACTTGCTGGTTTTCTTTTCAGGATAGCGTCAAATAATGTGCAGGAAAAGGAATACCGTGTGTGGGAGTGTGAGTCTTATGTGCACGAAGAACAGGACAGTTAGCATCGTTCCCACCTCCAGAGATCCTCACGGTGGTCATGCAGCCTCGTGTGCTCAGAACAGTGTGAGGTGGATGAGGCACTGGTGGATGTTTGCGTGGCAAGGATGGTGGGACCCCAGGCCCACGTTCTTCCCGTTAGCTTTCTCTGGTGTTAACTGTTTAGCATCATTTCTGCTGTTTTTATAGAACAGGCGCTTTTTGCTTTTTGTATGGACTCAAGTGAAATAAAAACTAGCACCGCCGTACCTTATAAACATGACCCTTTTCTATCTGTAGTTAGAAAGGTACAGGCAGTATTAAAAGGGTAGCTACTTCAGACACTGTGTCTCTGTGGATCTGACGACAGCTCAGGAGGCCAGCACATGCAGAGCCGGCGTCTCATCCCCAGCCGTTGCTGATCATCGGCGAAGGCGGAGTTCAGGTGCCTCGCTCCTGACGCCACAGGTTGTGCTTGTCTCACTCCATAGCCCTGCACTTTGTCGCAGTGAGGTCTGATACCACTTCTCTCAGAGCAGTGTAGAAATTTTGAGCTTCTCTTTCTTTGAAAATGCAGAAAAGAACATTTTGTGAGAATACCCTATACTTGACATCTGAGAAACCGCTCACACATGCAGCATCTCACGCAGAATGCTGTGGAGTCGGACTCAAAAGGCTGCACGCCTGTGGTCCTGTTGATAGGACATTCTGGACAAGGCACATCTAGGGAAGAAAAGGGATTGGTGGTTGCCAGAGGCTGTTTCCTGATTGTGCTGAGGCTTACAGACACAGCTCTGTGTGTGTCAAAGTTTGAAAAACCTACATTAAAAATGATGAGTTTATTTTACTGTATCTTTACGCTTTAATTTTTAAAAATGAAAAGGAAAGAAAAAATGCTTGTAGCATCCCTACTTCTCCCCCAACCCCCGACCCCCCCAAAAATATATATATGTGTATTTTTAGACATAGTCTCCCTCTGTCACCCAGGCTTGAGTGCAGTGGTACGATCAGGTGCACGCCACCACATCTGGCTAATTTTTAAAAATGTATTCTAGGGACAGGGTCTCCCTGTGTTGCCCAGGGTGGTCTTGAACTCCTGACCTCAAGTGATCCTCCTGTCTCAGCCTCCCAAAGTGGTTACATGCATCTATCCATGTGTTAAAATCGGTAGAACTGAGGCCGGGTGCAGTGGCTCACACCTATAATCCCACCACTTTGGGAGGCCAAGGCAGGCCGATTGCTTGAGCTCAGGAGTTCGAGACCAGCTTGGGCAAGGTGGTGAAACCCCGTCTCTACCAGAAATACAAAAATTAGCTGGGCATGGTGGCTCACACTTGGGTAGTCCCAGCTACTTGGGAGGCTGAGGTGGGAGGATTGTTGGAGCCTAGAAGGCGGAGGTTGCTGTGAGCCGAGATCACACCACTGCACTCCAGCCTGGGCAACAGAGGGAGGAGACACTGTCTCAAAAAAAAAAAAGAAAAAAGAAACTGTAGAACTGTCCACCGAAAGAAAAAAGTCAATTTTAATGGATGATCAATTTTTAAAGCGTTATAAACAAAAGGAAAAGAGACACCAGCAAGCCTAGAAGCATTTGAGCAGACCGTCAAGAGACCCACAGCCTGGTCCCGAGGAGAGGCGGTAGGCGGGACAGGGCCTGTTTGACTCCTGCATTTCATACCTCCTATCTCCTGCATGTGTTACCTATTGAAGAAAAAATACATATAATTTTATAAAAAAAAAAAACCTTTAAAACTTTTTTCAAGACATCTTGGAAACACAAGAGTTGCAAATCTTGGCCGTGCGCAGCAGCTCACACATGTGATCCCAGCACTTTGGGAGGCTGAGGCAGGTGGCTCACCTGAGGTCAGGAGTTCGAGACCAGCCTGGCCAACATGGTGAAACCCCATCTCTACTGAAAATACAAAAATTAGCCAGGTATGGTTGCAAACTCCTGTAGTCCCATCTACTCCAGAGTCTGAGGCAGGAGGATTGCTTGAACCAGGAGGTGGAGGTTGCAGTGAGCCGAGATGGTGCCACTGCACTCCAGCCTGGGCTACAGAGCAAAATTCCATCTCAAAAAAAAAAAAAAAAAATTGCAAATCTTGAAGTATAGGTGAGAGCACACAACAGTCCAAATCAGCAGGTGACTTGCAAGCACACAGCAGCCACCTTCCTCCCCCTAATGTGAAGGACAGTGGGGCGGCCGGCCCCTTGGGACCACCATCTGGAAGGTGTCATTTTTTCCCGTTAGTGGAGTGACATTTATATACACTTAATGTATATAAATCTGTATACATTTAATTTTTTTTTTTTGTAAGACAGGGTCTCGCTCTGTTGCCCAGGCTGGAGTGCAGTGGCGCGATCTCGGCTCACTGCAACCTCCACCTTTCGGGTTAAAGCAGTTCTCATGCCAGATAATTTTTGTGTTTTTAGTAGAAATGAGGTTTTGCCACGTTGGCCAGGCTGCTCTTGAACTCCTGACCTCAAGTGCTTCACCTACCTCAGCCTCCTAAAGTGCTGGGATTACAGGCGTGAGCCACTGCACCTGGCCTACATTTTAATTTTTTAATTTTAGAGATGATTTCTAGTTTATTCACTCTAAGATCACTTAATGGATATCTACTGTGTGCCAACAGTTTTGCCTTTTATGTCTGTTCTTTAAAATTGGCCCCAACTCAACAGATGGCCTCAGATGTAGGGTGGGTTGGCAGTGTGTTAGCTCAGGAGACTTACACCGTTTCCAGGCTCCTTGAGCGGCTATGCTACATTTTTGTGTGTAGTACTAAATCCATTTGTTTTTTTAAAACGGTTTTCAAAAGTTAAATTCTAGCTCTTTTTGTTGTTGTTTTAGGAGATAAAGTCCCTCCAATTAAACCAAATGCTGGGGAAGAATCTGTCACGAATCTTGACAAATTGAGATTTGCTGATGGAAGAAGCATAAGAACATCGGAACTGCGACTCAGCATGCAGAAGGTAAGAGCCTGGACTCGCTCTGGAGTGAGCAGGCTGGCTGCATACCTGGCCCTGCACTGGTTTTGTTTTTTTAAAAACAGATCTAGGGGGATGCAGGTGCAGCTTTGTGTGGATGTACTGGGAGGTGGTGGAGTCTGGGCTTTTCATGTACCTGTCACCCAAGTCGTGTGTGTTGTACTCAGCAGGTAATTGCTCATCCCCACCCCTCCCGCTTTTTGGAGCCCACAGTCTGTTAGTCCACTCCGTGTGTCCATGTGTACTCACCGTTCAGCTCCCACTTCCAAGGGAGAATGTGTGACACTTGACCTTCTGACTCACTTAGGATAGTGACCTCCCATTCCATCCGTCTGGCTGCAGAAGACATGATTGCATTCTTTTTTTATGGCCAAGTAGTATTTCATGGTATATATGTACCACATTTTCTTTATCCGGTCGTCCGTTGATGGGCACTTAGGTTGATTCCATGACTTTGCTATTGTGACTAGTGCTGCAATAAACATACGAGGCTGCACCAGTATGTGGAGGTAAACAGCAGTAGGACATACTCCTCACTGTATCAAGAATATGAAAGAGACCAGAAGTGCACTTCTTCTCCACATAGAAGGTCAGCAGGCCAGGGCAGAATTAGTGACTGCTTAGCATCCAGGACAGCCTTCTGTGGTTCACTCGTGTGTGCTTGGGCATGACCTCCGTGCCCTGACCGTCGCTGGCTGTCATGGATGAGTCACAGTGTGGAGGAGAGGGAGCCGCAGGACTGCCGGAGAAGCTCCGTCCCCAGCAGGGCAGCTTTCTCTTAGAGGTTTCCTGGAGTTCAACACAACACTGGTGCTTACATCTCAGGCCCAGATATTGATCATGTCATCATGCCTGGCTTCCAGCAGCTCGGAAACGTCTTTAAGCTAGACCTGTTGCTGCCCCTAAATATACTCAGCAGAGAGGGAGAGTGGGCGGCAGGTGGACAGTGATCTGTGCGGCCTGTGCTGCTGGGAGTCGGTCCAGTAGGACCGTCTGTGATGATGGAAATGTTGAGTGTTTGCCGTCCAGTATGGCAGCCATTAGCCATGGGGCCGTGGAGAACCTGATATATAGTCAGTCTAAGAAACTCAATTCCTCTAATAACAAGGATTCTTGTCCATGAATGAGATCTCTTGTCTGCTATTTGCAAGAATTTCTGCGTATTTTCTAGAAAGAAGTCCACTGCTTTAGTCCTATTCTGAAAGGCATTTGGTGTTAGACACAAGAGAACAGGTTCCCTGCTGACAATTTTCAGAGGCCCGTGCCCTTCGGTCTTCAGGTGAGGCTGGGCTTGAGGGAGGTTTTGTGGAACGGTGAGAAGAACAGCGTGACTAAGGCACAGAAGGCTGAGTGATGCCCTGCAGTGCTTTTGTAGGGTTGGAGGCCAGCTGGGAAAGAAGGAACCCTTGCGTTAGAGAATGGGAACATGCCTTAGGATATAGAAATGGCAAATCTGAGATAGTTTGAAGTGAGAATACTAGAAGTGTTCCCACCAAACAAGGTGTGTCTTGGTGCCTGCTGTATCCCAGGCTCCGTGAGGTGCCGGAGTCAGCACTGAACAAACAGAGCTTCCTATGCTTGCGGAAATGCATTTCGTTGGGGGAAGGGATTTTTCTGCTGACTCTGGCTATTAATAGTAACAATCAAAAAAAGAAATGAGGTAAATTGATAGAAACAGGCCCCCAAATGTGGCCATAAACTGGCCCCAAAACTGGCCATAAACAAAATCTCTGCAGCATGTGACGTGCTCGTGATGGCCAGGACGACCACGCAGGAAGGTTATGGGTTTACCGTAATGAGGGCAAGGAACACCTGGCCCACCCAGAGTGGAAAACCTCTTAAGACCTTCTTAAACCACAAACAATAGCATGAGCGCTCTGTGCCTTAAGGACATGCTCCTGCTGCAGATAACTAGCCAGACCCATCCCTTTATTTCCTGTAAGGAATACTTTCAGTAAGTCTTATCACTGGCTTGCTGTCAATAAATACGTGGGTAAATCTCTGTTTGAGGCTTTTGGCTCTGAAGGCTGTGAGACCCCTGATTTCCCACTCCACACTCTATATTTCTGTGTGTGTGTCTTTACTTCCTCTAGTGCCACTGGGTTAGGGTTTCCATGACCCAGCTGGTCTTGGCAGTAAATATTGAAAAGGAATAGATACAGTTGCCATTATTTACAGATATAATTTCCAAAAAATTTCCAGAGAATAAACGGAAAAACTAACAGAAACAAAACAAGAATGTAGTAAGGTATGTGTATAAGAGATTTGTATGTAAAAATCAGTAGCTTTGCAATGTGCCAGCAGTAATCTGCTCAGACATCAGTAAATATCTCATTCGCATTTCAAACAAAAAATTTAAAATGCCTTGAAATAATGTAACCAGAAATACGAAAAGATGATATGAAAACGTCGCTGCTAAAGGACATGAAAGAATGTAATACTAGATTCTGAGATGCAATTTTTTTCATTTGTTCTTCCTGAAAAACCATTAGGTTGATGTGCATTACAGTGTTACGATTATGTATGAGTCTAAGGAAAATCAGATGAAATGTCCAAATTGAACCACGAAGGTGCATTGGTAGAGGAAGAGACAATTAGGGTCAGTGGAGCAAAGCACAGTTAGAGGGAGAAGCAAGGAGGAGGAGGGATCACGGAGGTGGTGCCTGTGTGTCCCACAGGAAGCAAAAGCTGATGCCCAGTTCCCAGCATACCTAAGTAAACTTCAGGTCCACTCCTAGCACGTTTCTCGTGATAGTAAAACTATGAAGGAACTCAGTGTACAAGGAGCTTCTACAAAATAGGCAGAAGACAGTAGCCAGATGGGCCAAGGGCCCCAGCCACCCACGCCCCTCCCTCTCCTTGAAGACCTTCGGTTCCAACCCCACCATCAGCAGGGCTCTGCTCAGTTCCTCCTTGTGTGTATCACCACAGGGCTGCTGGCTCGTGTCACGTTCACCACCAGACCCCACATCAGGAGTCCCGCCAGGGGTGTGGGGAGGCAGTGCTGCCTGGTTGGCCGTGGAGCCGTATGGAACGTGGTGCCTCACAGGCAGTCTGCTTGGCGTCCTGGACCCTGGCTGTATCCCGCTGGAAAGGATGTGTGTGGGTCTAAGATATGTATATAATAGAAACATTTATTCAGAAGCTTTAGTCAAGACTTCATTTTTAAGTTCAGAGTAATAAACTCATAGTCTAAATTTCCTAATTTTTCTGTTTAATTTACATAAATAAAATGAAATGCAAAACAACAGGTCTAAAAGTTAAGCAGTTCTTGGTATGGCTGCTTCTATGAATTAAAAGTTTACAAATAATATTTTGTGCCACAGTCAACGCAAAATCATGCTGCCGTGTTCCGTGTGGGAAGCTTGTTGCAAGAAGGTTGTGGGAAAATCAGCAAGCTCTATGGAGACCTGAAGCATCTGAAGACGTTTGACCGGGGTGAGCAGACAGTGGGCTCTGTGCACACTGTTGGGCCCTGCCTTCTGCAGGGTGGGCTGGTGTCTGTCCCGTCAGTGCTGACTTAGTTCCATGCTTGCTGTCTGGATGGGTGCTGGCCCCCAGCTGTAAAGCCACAACCAGTGACTCCATGGACTAGCAGGCCCAGGCTGACAGCTCGGAGGGCCCGTGTGACTGGGTCCCACCTGCCCCTGATGGAACTTTTTGTGTCCCCAGGAATGGTCTGGAACACGGACCTGGTGGAGACCCTGGAGCTGCAGAACCTGATGCTATGTGCGCTGCAGACCGTCAATGGAGCAGAGGCGGGGAAGGAGTCACGGGGCGCGCACGCCGGGGAAGACTACAAGGTGCGCCTTCTCGCCACGCCCACCTGCACCTGCCTTTTCCTCCCGCCTGGTGGGACTCAGCCCCACCCCTGCATTTTCTCTGCATTTTATGTCGTTTCCCCAAAAGTATATCCAAAAAATGCCTTTTTCCCTCTGGTAACTTTGATCCCTGGGTTCTCGCCATTTTCTGGATCACTGTGACCTGTTCCTTGCTTTGGGTCGGCATCCACTGATGCCAGCAGTGGCATCTCCAAGCCAATGTGCTTTGCTGTTAGAAGGCCAAGGTTAGAAGTGCAGCCAGCGTGGCATGACCAGGAAATAAATGCCAGTTTATTAAATAACGAGTAAGCCACCGTTTCAAGCCTGCCCTATGGAGGAAATGCCAGTTTATTAAATAACGAGTAAGCCACCGTTTCAAGCCTGCCCTGTGGAGGAAATGCCAGTTTATTAAATAACGAGTAAGCCACCGTTTCAAGCCTGCCCTGTGGAGGAAATGCCAGTTTATTAAATAACGAGTAAGCCACCGTTTCAAGCCTGCCCTGTGGAGGAAATGCCAGTTTATTAAATAACAAGTAAGTCACCGTTTCAGACCTGCCTTGTGGAGGAAATGCCAGTTTACTAAATAACGAGTAAGCCACTGTTTCCAACCTGTCCTGTGGTTTGGAAAAGGTATTATAGAGCCTGTCCTGTGGTTTGATTACGGAGACTGCCCTGTGGTCACTTGTTCTTCAGATGAACTGATTTTTGTGCAGAGCACACGTGTTGGATTCTGCCTGGTAAGAGTTTTTCACATATGATAGCAAAAAACGACGGAAAGGGAAGCTTGGGGTGCAAATGCAAGTTCAGGATAAACCACATCGGCAAAAGGACAAAGGCTCCACAAGGCAGGCGCACAGGCTGGTTCAGGGCCATGTGTGGGCGGCTGGTGGCAGCCTTTCCAGTCAGCTGAACACAGTGAATGGGAAAATCATTTTTATTCACCATGAAATTTTACTGATTTACCCTCCACTAGAATATGCTGATGGCTGTGATCACTGCTCAGAATTTGCTCGTCTCCTCATACATATTAAGAGTCTTTCCTGCAAAGTATATGAATCCGTGTTTGCCAGAATACAGAATAATAATAAATTTATTATTTTTAATTTTTTGAGATGGAGTCTCATTGTCCCCCAGGCTGGAGTGCAGCGGCGCGATCTCAGCTCACTGCAACCTCTGCCTCCCAGGTTCAAGTGATTCTCCTGCCTCAGCCTCCCAAGCAGCTGGGGTTACAGGCGCATGCCACCGTGCCCGGCTAATTTTGTATTTTCAGTAAAGACGGGGTTTCACCATGTTGGCCAGGCTAGTCTCGAACTCCCGACCTCAAGTGAACCACCCACCTTGGCCTTCCAAAGTGCTAGGATTACAGGCATGAGCCACTGTGCCTGGCCAGGAGCATAAATTTAGTTGGTGACAACGAGTTTTAATTAGAATAGAAGCCAGGTGCAGTGGCTCCCACCTGTAATCCCAGCATTTGGGAGGCTGAGGCAGGCAGATCACTTGAGCCCCGGAGTTCTAGACCAGCCTGGGCAACATGGCGAAACCTGTCTCTACAAAAATTAAAAAATTAGCCAGGCGTGGTGGTACACACCTGAGGTACCAGCTGCTCAGGAGGCTGAGGCAGGATGATTGATTGAGCCCGGGAAGTCAAGGCTCTGGCGAGCTGTGATCACACCATTGCGCTCCAGCCCAGGTGACATAGCGAGACCCTGTCTCAAAAGAGAAAAAAAGTGTTTTTAATAAAAACAGGCTGAAAGAAAAGATGGAGGTAGTCTCCCAGCGCTTGGAGCAAAAAGACAAAGTATTTGATAAACTCTTAGGTACATAAAGGATGTCTAAGGGAACATGCGGACATGGATTACTCTGGACTCACTGCTGGCTGCACATCGCTGGCCAGCCATGTGGCCTCTGTGGGTTCTGAACGTGTTGATGGTGCCAACCTCCTGGGCTGAAGTGGAAATGGAATGGGTTCTAGGGCATCTGTCTCTTAGATCATTTTAATGTTTGCTGTGTTTTTTCTGTATTGCTCTGTTAGAGTAATGAGAAATGTGATGGTGTTTCTGGCCTCAGGTGCAGATTGATGAGTATGATCACTCCAAGCCCATCCAGGGGCAACAGAAGAAGCCCTTTGAGGTGCACTGGAGGAAGCACACCCTGTCCTATGTGGACGTCGGCACTGGGAAGGTCAGTGTGGAGCTCGTTCTCACCACAGCCCAGCACCCACACGGCCCCGCCCAGGTCTGCGGGCTGGCCTTGCTGATGGTGAACGCGGAGGAGCAGGCCAGATTTAAATCAACTCCCGACAGATTTGAGGCACCGCTGAAAAAGGCACTCTGACAGCAGTCGGGCTTCGGGCTGGAAACAGAATCCAGTGCCTGCAGGTGGTTCAGAGGAGCCTTAAGGAAGGGTTGCTCTGTGGTGTGGGCCAGATGGAAGTCACTGGGCAGGAGCAAGTGTCCAAGGCCTGGTGGCAGGGGAGGAGATGATGATTGTGGACCTAGCGAGAAAGTCAGCATCTGTGTGGTGGGGACAGAGCCACTACCAGAAACCAGTCCCGAGCCAAGGGAGCCCAGAAGAGACCCCTCCCCTCTCTTCCCATGGGCTGGGCCAACTGGAAGCATCTGCAGGGGAGCAGAGGGGATGTGGTGCAGCCCTTAGCATCCCCTGGGCACTGAGCAAGCAGAGAAGGGCAGAAATGGAGGCAGGGTTGGGGTAAGCAGCGTCCTGGGAACAGCCAGCCGAGGGTGTGGTAGGGGGGTTGCAGCTTGTTCCACACAAGCACAGCGTCTTGGGAACAGCCAGCCGAGGGTGTGGTAGGGGGTTGCAGCTTGTTCCACACAAGCACAGTTCACCTGTGTGGCATTTCCACTGGGCATTGAGATTCAGAAATCATGAAGATAGAAAGCTTTTACCCTTAAGCTTTTCATAACTTGTAAGGGAGAGTCGTATAATCACTTAGCTGTGTCTGTGGAAGTTACCTTTGGACTCTCACTATCATCTAGTGTGTCTGTGATTCAGGCAGTGGGTCATTTTCAGAATTTATCATGAAGGCCATTTCCTGATAGTATAGAGAGGTCACACTTCACTCGCTTAGCACAAGTCTATTTTTAATGTTTCCGGGTTCAGGTTTTTTGTTTTGTTTTTGTTGTTCTGAGATAGAGTCTCATCTCTTTTGCCCAGGCTGAAATGTGGTGGCTCGATCTCATCTCACTGCAGCCTCAACCTCCCCTCGGCTCAGGTGATCCTCCCACCTCAGCCTCCCGGGCACATGCCACCATGCCTGGCTAATTTTTGTATGTTTTGTAGAGACGGGGTTTTGCCACGTTGCCCAGGCTAGTCTTGAGCTCCTGAGCTCAAGTGATCCACCTGTCTTGGCCTCCCCAACAGGCATGAACCAACACGCCCAGCCAGTTTCAGTGATTTTTGAAGAAATACATACTCATTTTAGAAAGTACAAAGAGATTGAAATAAGAGCTCACTAACCAGAGATGACCCATTATGGTTTAAATTTCTTTGTATATGTGCCTACCTTTTCCTGTGTGTGCATATTTAATACACGGCTTGAGTATTCCTTCTCTGAAATCCTTGGGACCAGAAGTGTTTTGGATTTCAGGCTTGTTCAGACTTTGGAATATTTGCATTACACTTACTGTCTGAGCATCCTTAATCGGAAGATCTGACTCCATAGCACATTTCTTTTGAATGTCATGCTGGTGCTCAGAAAGTTTCAGATTTGGGAGAATTTCAGATGTTTGGATTAGGGATGTTCTACCTATATAAATATTTACTTTGAAGTAGAAAAACTGGAAGTAGATAGTTTAAACATGAAGTGTCTTGGTATAGACAAGGGTTCTCCCACTTTTCATGATGGGAGCATTTTTGTAAAGCAAAGCACTGAGAATCTGGTACAGTGTCATTTTCGTTGCTCTGTTCCACTCTACCGATCTGCCGTCATTTACAGTCCCCTGTTGCGCATGTAGATCATTTTTGAATTTGTTATTGGAAAATACTGCAGCAAATACCTTAAAGTTCACATGCCGTAAATCTACTTTTATAGTTAAAATTTTTCAAAAGGAACACAAGAGATGGCTTTTTGTACATTTTTGTGCTTAACTTACCACTGACTTCTTTTCAAGGTCACTGTGGAATATAGACCCATAATTGACAAAACTTTGAACGAGGCTGACTGTGCCACTGTCCCCCCAGCCATTCACTCCTACTGATGAGACAAGATGTGGTGATGACAGAATCAGCTTTTGTAATTATGTATAATAGCTCATGCATGTGTCAATGTCATAACTGTCTTTATACGCTTCTGCACTCTGGGGAAGAAGGAGTACATTGAAGGGGGATTGGCACCCAGTGGCCGGGGAGCGTGGCACTTACCTTTGTCCCTTGCTTCATTCTTGTGACAAGATAAAACTGGGCACAGCTGTTAAATAAAATATAAATGAACAAACTTTCTTTTATTTCCAAATCCATTTAAAATATTTTCCTGTTATGACTTGTCATATTTGTTGACCTAAAAATCAAATGTAATTATCTTTGTATTCTGTTACATCAAAATCCAGATATTTTGTTGCAGTTTCTTTTTTTTTTTTTTTTTTTTGAGACAGGGTTGGTGCAGTCTCAGCTCACTGCAGCCTCAAACTCCTGGGCAGCTCAGGTGATCTTCCCGACTCAGCCTTCTAAGTAGCTGGGGCTACAGGTGTGCACCACCACGCCCAGCTCATTTATTTTGTAATTGTAGGGACAGGGTCTCACTTTGTTGCCTAGGCTGGTCTCAAACTGCTGGGCTTAAGTGATCGTTCCTCCTTGGCCTCCCGAAGTGCTGGAATTATAGGTGTGAACCACCATGTCTGGCCTTGTAGTTTATTTCTAAGTTCAAATTAATGTTGGTGCTTTTCCTCCTTTTTTCTTAGCAGATGGTTTGCTAGGTGAGTGTGTCCTCGATTCTTTAAATCAGGGGTCCCCAATCCCCAGGCCACAGATTGTTCCAGTCCATGGCCTGTTAGGAACCAGGCCACACAGTAGGAGGTGAGCAGCCAGCCAGTGAGCATTACTGTGTGAGCTCCGCCCCCTGCCAGAGCATTACTGTGTGAGCTCCACCCCCTGCCAGAGCATTACTGTGTGAGCTCCGCCCCCTGCCAGAGCATTACTGTGTGAGCTCCGCCCCCTGTCAGAGCATTACTGTGTGAGCTCCGCCCCCTGCCAGAGATTACTGTGTGAGCTCCGCCCCCTGGCAGAGCATTACTGTGTGAGCTCCGCCCCCTGGCAGAGCATTACTGTGTGAGCTCCGCCCCCTGCCAGAGATTACTGTGTGAGCTCCGCCCCCTGTCAGAGCATTACTGTGTGAGCTCCGCCCCCTGCCAGAGTATTACTGTGTGAGCTCTGCCCCGTCAGAGCATTGCTGTGTGAGCTCCGCCCCCTGCCAGAGTATTACTGTGTGAGCTCCACCCCCTGTCAGCATTACTGTGTGAGCTCCACCCCCGTCGGCATTACTGTGTGAGCTCCGCCCCCTGCCAGAGCATTACTGTGTGAGCTCTGCCCCCTGTCAGAGCATTGCTGTGTGAGCTCCGCCCCCTGCCAGAGTATTACTGTGTGAGCTCCACCCCCTGTCAGCATTACTGTGTGAGCTCCACCCCCGTCAGCATTACTGTGTGAGCTCCGCCCCCTGCCAGAGCATTACTGTGTGAGCTCCGCCCCCTGCCAGAGCATTACTGTGAGCTCTGCCCCCTGTCATCATTACTGTGTGAGCTCCGCCCCCTGTCATCATTACTGTGTGAGCTCCGCCCCCTGCCAGAGCATTACTGTGTGAGCTCCGCCCCCTGCCAGAGCATTACTGTGTGAGCTCCGCCCGCTGTCATCATTACTGTGTGAGCTCCGCCCCCTGTCATTACTGTGTGAGCTCCGCCCCCTGTCATATCATTACTGTGTGAGCTCCGCCCCCTGTCATATCATTATTGTGAGCTCCGCCCCTGTCATATCATTGCTGTGTGAGCTCCGCCTCCTGTCAGATCAGTGGTGGCATTAGATTCTCATAGGAGTGGAATCCTGTTGTGAACTGCGCATGAGAAGGATCTAGGTTATGCCCCGCTTATGAGAATCTAATACTGATGATCTGAGATGGAACCGTTTCATCTCCAAACCATCCCCACACTTGTCAGTGGAAAAAGTGTCTTCCGTGAAACCAGTCCCTGGTGCCAAAAAGGTTAGGGACTGCCGGTTTAAATAACCAAATGCTAAAAGAACTGGCATAGAAGTAAATGGGCTGCTGCTTTATTTTTAGGCTGTTCTTTTTAGAGAGCAATGACAGTTATTTCCAAGTTTGTCATTAGAAAATAATATTAGGTTGGAGCAAAAGTAATTGCAGTATTTGCCATTGCTTTCAATGGTAAAAGGCACAATTACTTTTGCAGCAACTTAATATTATAAATTTGTTCTTAAAGTGTATTTTTGATAAGAAAGCCGTTTTGTTTTTCCTTCTGTTAATTTTTTGTTTTTTTCTTGGTCGAGACAGAGTCTTGCCATGCTGCCCAGGCTGGAGTGCAGTGGTGTGATCTCGGCTCACTGCAGCCTCCACCTCCTGGGCTCCAGCAGTCCTCCCACCTCAGCCTCCCTAAGAGCTGAGACTACAGGTGTGAGCCACCATGCCTGGCTAATTTTTAGAGACAGGGTTTCACCCTCTTGCCCAGGCTGGTCCCAAACTCCTGGGCTCAAGCAGTCCTCCTGCCTCAGCCTCCCAGAGTATTGGGATTATAGGTGTGAGCCACTGCCAGAAAAACGTTTCCTAAGACAAGGCAGGTCTTACATTATATTTAAATTTTTTTTAATGATGTCTTTTTTGGCAGTGCACAGCCAGAGGACAACACATCACACACAAGAAACAGTTGTGCTCATGTGATGGGGGCCTCAGCACTAGGAAGGAGTGGACTGTTGGCGCACGCAGCAGCTTGAATAAATCTGAAAGTCACTACGCTGCGTAAGAGAAGCCAAATAAAGCGCATGCTGTGTACAGAGGGTGTCGAGAATGCCTCCTACGTGACGGAAAGCAGATCCGTGGTTCCCTGCAGACTGGCAGGAGCAGATTCCAAAGGCACAGGAAGAAGCTTGCAGGTAGAATGTGTTCATTACCTTCTGCGCATTATACCACAAAAAAGCTGGGAATAAAAATGCTAACCAAAAAAAAAGGTGAAAGTAGATAAAATTTCTCAACTGTGTGATGGGTAAACGTGCAGGTTTGCTGTCATGCTTTGTTTATGAAGCTGTGGGGTACAAGGACTCTCATACGTCACTGTGGAATGCAGAACGTTGCAGCCTCATGGAAGAGGATTTGGCAGCATCTAACAAAACGACATGGCATTTGCCCTTAGACTCAGCAATTCTAGAATCTGCCTCAAAAAAAACTCTGGCAAAGAAATGAAAGGACTTTATCCACAGAGTTCTTTTCACAGCCTGAATGTGTTTGCCACAAAGTTCTTCACTGTGGCATTTGTAAAACTGGAAACAATCAAAATGTCCATCAGTAAGGGATTAGGAACATTAATTCGTGCAGTGGGGAACTCCGTACCAGAAGGAGGAATGAGGAACGCCTATTGATAAGGGGCAGAGTACATATAATATAATGCAAATATATATTTGCTTTTTCTTAAAACAGTACAAAGATAAAAATCTAAAGTGGTTGCTGTGGAGGACAGGGGTCAGTGGTGGAAGTGAGACCGAAATAGACTCTGAAGTAATATCTGGACTTTGAAATTGTAAGTGTTTTACATATTACCAAACTAAGTTTTTAAGATAGTCCCTAAAATTGAAAGAATGGTATCTGAAATGAATGAATCTAAATTCCTTGGATTGCATTCTACAGGCGCCAACCCTGAGACAAAAATTTGGAAGGTGGCCCTGAGCAGCAGCTGAAGGGAAGTGGGAGGTGAGACAGGAAAGAGGCGGCAGCATGGGGCGTCCGGGAGCCGGGTCTCATGTGGACAGCTGGGCCCGTGTTCACTGTGGGAGCTGGTGCGTTCCTTCACCAGCCCACGCTGCACAGGTTCAGGATGGTCAATTCCGGGCACCCCTGGCCTGCTCCAGGACATGCTGCTGCCACCAGAGAAAGCCCCTAGGCAGCGTCCCGGGTGCTGGTGGTGTCAGAATCGAGTTTGAGTCTGAGGAGTGACCTGGGGCTGGCTGGGCTAGGCAGCATCACGGGGTTCTGCAGCCCAACTGCACATCAGGCTGGTGACAGTCACGCAGCCTATTACTTCATGTGTCATCAGAGGATCGCTAGAACACAGCACTTCAAGTGTGCAGATTTAGTGAGCCATAGTCTAAAGACAAATAGAGCCACTGAATCCTAAATTTCAATCAATCATCTCCGTTACTCGTCTTATAGGTATTAATCCTTTGAAATTATGTGGGGTGGGAGTTAAAGCAAATAACTAATTATGTTAATGCTAAAACTAAGATTTTTCTGGCAAGGGAAAATCCTCCCAAGTCCCAGCACTTTGGGAGGCCGAGGTGGGCAGATGACCTGAGGTCAGGAGTTTGAGACCAGCCTGGCCAACATGGTGAAACGCCATCTCTACTAAAATTGAAAAATTAGCTGGGCATGGTGGCAGGTGCCTGTAATCCCAGCTATTGGGGAGGCTGAAGCAGGAGAATCGCTTGAAACAGGAGGCAGAGATTGCAGTGAGCCGAGATTGTGCCACTGCACTCCAGCCTGGGCAACAGGAACAAAACTCTATCTCAAAAAATAAAACAAGATTTTTCTGAGAAAAAGGTGTAAAACCGTATACTAAATTTGAAATAGAAATATAAGCGTGAACTCATTTGTTGTTCTTTTACCGTAGACACATTTTCTACCTCTGCCCCAGTAGCAGTAGACACATCAAGCACCTAGAAAGTGGTCTCTAATACATGAAAACCATGAATTCATAGTGGTGGTTTCAAAGCCAAAACCAAACAAACACATGTAATTGGTCACTCTTGGAGGTACCTAGGGCACTAACTCCTAACACTGGGAATGGACACTTGAAGGAAGATCAGTAATTATCCTGTCTTTTCTCTACAAATTGCAATTCAGGGAAACCTTGTTGATTAGGGAAAGTTCTTTACATAAGAATTCCTGCAAGTAAGTGAGTAAAGAATGACAGTTTAAGAATTGTCCCAGCCTGGCCAACATAGTGAAACCCCATCTCTAAAAATACAAAAAATTAGCCAGGCATGATGATGGGTGCCTGTAATCCCAGCTACTCAGGAGGCTGAGGCAGGAGAGTTGCTTGAACCTGGGAGACGGAGGTTGCAGTGAGCCGAGAGTGCGCCACTGCACTCCAGCCTGGGCAACAAGAGTGAGACTCTGTCTCAAAAAAAAAAAAAAAGAATTGTCAAATTGCTACCCCTAATGCCATGGTTCTCTAACCTGTGTAACAGGATCAGCTGGAGGGACGCTACCCCAGACCTTCCAATTCAGTCCTGGGGGGACCCTAGTCCAGACCTTCCGATTCGGTCCTGGGGGGGCCCTAGTCCAGACCTTCCAATTCAGTCCTGGGGGGACCCCACCCCAGACCTTCCGATTCAGTCCTGGGGAGACCCTACCCCAGATCTTCTGATTCAGTCCTGGGGGGACCCTCGTCCAGACCTTCCGATTCAGTCCTGGGGGGACCCCACCCCAGACCTTCCGATTCAGTCCTGGGGTACCCCACCCCAGACCTTCCGTTTTCAGTCCTGGAGGGACCCTACCCCAGATCTTCCGATTCAGTCCTGGTTCGGTCTGAGAATTTGCATTTCTAACATGTCCAGGGAACACAGTTTGAAAACCTCCACGGCTAACATGTAATGGGATGACATGGTCCAATAAATGAAGGAAAAATAACAGGTGGCAACCTCAGGCAGCTTCATCCCAACCAGTAAGAAAGTAAATCCTTTTGTAAACTAAGAGGAAGTATTAATATGGGCGTTTGAGCAAACATTTAAGTGTTAGGACAAAGAATTAAAAACTAGCACAGGCACCCCTGAAGCATGATAGGATGGCAACAGAAGGGCTGATTTAGTTTCCAAGAAATAACTGACAGGCAGTGTTGTGCGTGTGTCTACTACTTAGGAACCCAAAACAAACCTTCAGACCGTTTTCATGAGTACTGAGACCAAGAAAACCACTGGGCAGTGGGTGGTCTGGAAATGTAAATGTTGATGGTACTCCAGTAATGAGTCATGGAACAATGTTTCATATTGAAAATGTTTTTGTAAATGTGGGTTTCAGGGTTTCAAAGTGAACCCATATGTGTTAGGAGAAAGGACACACCAAAGAAGTAAAATAATTGGGTCAATATAAAAAGTAGAATATTGCCCAGAGAGAAGATGTGGATAATTCCTAATACGGATCAAAGGCACCAAAAAGGTGAGCTGTGAGTAAGATATTCAGACCTGCACCATCCCAAGCAGTAGCCACAGTGGCAAGTAGCCTCCTCACTGGACAGTGCAGCTACGGAATGATGCCATCACCGGAAAGTTCCATCAGCCAGCACCGATGCAGACCTTTGCAACTGCCCCTCACGCTGGACAGCACCTGTTTGATAGATTGTCCACTACGCAGTGAAAAGCCTGGGTGAAAAGCGGTATTTGGTAGAAGAGCAAAAAGGGGAAAAAAATTAAAAGTAGTAGGTCATTGTCCGCCAAACTGAATTCTGGCAGAAGAATGTTGGAAGCAAGATGGGAGCCACAGGAGAAAGTATCCTTGTCCCAAGACAGGAGGGGGTGCCAGGCATGGTTGGCTCTGTGCCTGGAATTCTATGGCCGGAATCTGGAAAAAGGAAAAGTGACTGGAAAAGGAAAGATTCTGTGTGCTTATGTCAAGATGCAGCCGTCCGTGATCCTGAGAAAATAAGTGAACAAAGTGGCTTTGGAGGGACGCTGTTGGATACACAAACAGATACAATGTGCACTTGCTATGCTTGTTCACACAAAGGACAGGATGGTCATCTGTTCATTGAACAACTACCTGTCGAGGGCCTATATGTGCCAAAGACATCAGATGAACAAGAGGGTGCACTGTGGAAAGCCTCAGGAACACAAGCGCCCAGAAACATTTAGAAAAATTCTAAGGAAAACAGAAAAGGCATTTTCAGATTAGCTCATAGAAATGAGACCAAAGGAAAGACTGGCCCAGTATTTGGATACATTATGTGATAAACCTTAACACAGGGAGGAAAGTGTTATCTTTCAATTAATTTCTCAACTTCTGGAGACCTTAGAACAGACCTGGCTAGGAGGAAATTGAATCCGAGGCAGGTGAGGACATAGTGGTGCCTCGATGCTTCCAGTGATTGCGTCAGCAGAACCAGGGGTGGGAGATGATCTCTCTTTTTGTTGGCAGATGGTGGTGTCTGCTGTAGCTTTGTCCCCTGGTGACGGGACTCAGGCAGTAACCCCCATCATTGGCAATACCCCCACCTCTGAGAATGTGGAGAGGACTTGTGAAGACAATGTTGTCCCAAGCAGCACAGCCCAGGTGCTGACAGGATTCAGAGTTAGAGCTTTCTTAGAGGTCAGGGTTGCGGAAGAGGCAGGGACTGCAGCTGCATAGTTTGTATATGTATCAGGCTAGTATCTTTTGTTCTAGACTCATCCATTTGTACATTCATATGAGTATGCATGCATGGTGTTTTTTCTTTTTCTTTTTCTTTTTTTTTTTTTTTTTGAGATGGAGTCTTGCTGTGTCACCCAGGCTGGAGTGCAGTGGCATAATCTTGCTTGACTGCAAGCTCCGCATTCCGGGTTCAAGAGATTCTCCTGCCTCAGCCTTCCGAGTAGCTGGGATTACAGGTGCCTGCCACCACACTTGGCTAATTTTTGTATTTTTAGTAGAGATGGGGGTTTCACCATGTTGGCCAGGCTGGTGTCGAACTCCTGACCTCAGTGATCCACCTGCCTTGGCCTCCCAAAGTGCTGGGATTACAGGCATTAGCCACTGCGCCCAGCCGTATGTCTCCATCTTTTTATTTCTTGCAATGTGTTGTTAAAGAAGTCAGGTGGTATGTGTACACAAGTAACGTATACTTGTTGAATATTTCTTATTTATCATACCCTGTCTCGTTCCAAAAGGATTTTACATGACTTATAATTTTAATATAATCCGGGGGAGATGGGCAGATTCAGCTCTGGGAGGCCAGCAGAATGGCTTTTAGGTCCTCCTTGGATTCAGAAAATACTTCTTGAAAGATATTTGAGGTAAATCTTACAGGATTAGAGGTTAGCCAGATGAAAAGAAATCAAGAGAGGAGAGAGGAGCCCCCACAAAGGACTGACCCAGGGCAATAACGGGGAAAGAACTTGGAGGTACAGAGGCAGACCTTGGTGTTTCCCAGGGTGTGGGACGTTGGGGGTAGTAAGGCTGGAGTGGGTAGAGGAAAGGGCTAGGGTGACACCACGGGGTATTAGGTGGAACTGAGGGAAACAGAAATAGGAGCAGAGAAAAGGGAATGAGAACGGGAAAGAGGGAGGTGGGAAATAGAAGAGGGAGTTTCCAAACAGCAACAACAACAGAAACAAGTGTTTTGGGTTGTGGAGCGTTTGCCCTGCAGAGAGCTGGGTCTGCCCTTGTCCCTTTTGGGGATTATGAATCAGTGCGTGGAGCCGCGCGGCCACATCCACCATTCACTTGCACTTGAGTGACAGCCAAGCTACAGTCATGAATACGTTTCTTTCTTTTTACAGAAGAACAGTAAATTGACTTTATTCCTTATAAAGGTGATACTGGAGAATGTGACATAGATTTGCTGGCACATGGGTTTCCTATGAGCAAACCCCAGAATTGGACACACGTATCTGGTGCTGCATTGGAATCATCCCAAAAAACCAAGGCTTGCATTGCATATCTATCTGCTGTCTGCTGAAGGAGCCCTGTCTGTGTGCCCAAGGAAGTGACATCCTTGCCAAGGGCTGTCCCTGTCGCAGGAGATGAAGGAGCCCTGTCTATGTGCTCAAGGACAGTGGCTTCCTTGCCAAGGGCTGTCCCTGTTGCAGGAGATGAAGGAGCCCTGTCTATGTGCTCAAGGACAGTGGCTTCCTTGCCAAGGGCTGTCCCTGTTGCAGGAGATGAAGGAGCCCTGTCTATGTGCTCAAGGGCAGTGGCTTCCTTGCCAAGGGCTGTCCCTGTTGCAGGAGATGAAGGAGCCCTGTCTATGTGCTCAAGGACAGTGGCTTCCTTGCCAAGGGCTGTATCTGTTGCAGGAGATGAAGGAGCCCTGTGTGCCTGAGGACAGTGGCTTCCTTGCCAAGGGCTGTCCCTGTAGCAGGGGAAAGCCTTTCAGGACCCTTTCTTAGAGAAATAGGTCTCAAAGTGAATGAATATACCTCCTCACATACTCACCAAGCAGCCTGCAGAGGATACAGCTTTCCATGTGGCTCAGGGAACAGTTGATATCAACAGTCTCTCAATTCCTTTATTATTATTATTATTATACTTTAAGTTCTGGGATACATGTGCAGAACGTGCAGCGTTGTTACATAGGTATATATGTGCCATGGTGGTTTGCTGCACCCATCAACCTGTCATCTACATTGGGTATTTCTCCTAATGCTATCCCTCCCCTTGCCCCCAACCTCCCAACAGGCACCGGTGTGTGATGTTCCCCTCCCTGTGTCCATATGTTCTCATTGTTCAACTTCCACTTATGAGTGAGAACATGCAGTGTTTGGTTTTCTGTTCCTGTGTTAGTTTGCTGAGAATGATGGTTTCCAGTGTCATCCATGATCCTGCAAAGGACATGAACTCATCCTTTTTTATGGCTGCATAGTATTCCATGGTGTCTATGTGCCACATTTTCTTTAACCAGTCTGTCATTGATGGGCATTTGGGTTGGTTCCAAGTCTTTGCTATTGTGAATAGTGCCGCAATAAACATACATGTGCTCGGGGCTGGGCGCGGTGGCTCAAACCTGTAATCCCAGCACTTTGGGAGGCTGAGGCGGGTGGATCACGAGGTCAGGAGATCAAGACCATTCTGGCCAACATGGTGAAACCCCTTCTCTAGTAAAATGCAAAAAATTAGCTGGGCGTGGTGGTGTGTGCCTGTAGTTCCAGCTACTCAGGAGGCTGAGGCAAGAGAATCGCTTGAACCCGGGAGGTGGAGGTTGCAGTGAGCCGAGACCGTGCCACTGCACTCCAGCCTGGCAACAGAGCAAGACTCCGTCTCAAAAATAATAAATAAACATACGTGTGCATGTGTCTTTACAGTAGAATGATTTATAATCCTTTGGGTATATACCCAGTAATGGGATGGCTGGGTCAAATGGTATTTCTAGTTCTAGATCCTTGAGGAATCGCCACACTGTCTTCCACAATGGTTGAACTAATTTGCACTCCCACCAACAGTGTAAAACTATTCCTATTTCTCTACATCCTCTCCAGCATCTGTTGTTTCCTGACTTTTTAATGATCACCATTCTAACTGGTGTGAGATGATATCTCATTGTGGTTTTGATTTGCATTTCTCTAATGATCAGTGACGATGAGTTTTTTTCATGTTTGTTGGCTGCATAAATGTCTTGAGAAGTGTCTGTTCATATCCTTTGCACACTTTCTGATGGGGTTGTTTGTTCTTGTAAATTTACTTAAGTTCCTTGTAAATTCTGGATATTAGCCCTTTGTCGGATGGATAGATTGCAAAAATTTTCTTCCATTCTGTAGGTTGCCTGTTCACTCTGCCTGGTCATATGCAGAAAACCGAAACTAGACCCCTTGCTGACACTTATACAAAAATTAACTCAAGATGCATTAAAGATTTAAACGTGAGACCTAAAACCAGAAAAATCCTAGAAGAAAACCTAGGCAACACCATTGAGGACGTAAGCATGGGCAAAGACTTCATGACTAAAACACCAAAAGAAATGGCAACAAAAGCCAAAATTGACAAAAGGTATCTAATGAAACTAGAGAGCTTCTGCACAGCATGACTGTATTTCAGTGCACGTTTACCACCGAGCTCTTAACGCTCCACCACTGTCCTGTGTCATTAGGATCCCAGCTCTGCAGCCATTCCTCTAGTTGGGCCTGGGTCGGCTCTGGGATGCCGCGGGGGGGCCGGTCGGCGGCGGAGGGGCCAGTGGGGACCCGGGGCAGGGGCGGAGACCCCTCCCACTGCACATCCCACTGCCTGGGTATCTGGCCCCCAACCGGCCTGCCCGCTGCTCCCACCTCCCATGGTGGGTCGGGGGCTGAGGGCTGGGGACTGGGGCAGGGTACCCCAAATATCTCTCGGTGGCGATCGCTCAGTCCGTGCAGTCCATCCAGCTCCTGCATTGTCCGTCCTACCAATAACCTCTCACTTGCAATTCTCAGCCCCTTCCTGCATTGTCTCCCTGTGAGACCTACTAGAACCCCCGCCTTTCACACTGCTGACCTGCTGGGGGAAAATGCACAGAGGCAGAGACGAGGCCACGCGGGAGTCCTGATCTCTAACCCCAGCCGGTCTCAGGCCTTGCCGAGGCAACGCTGCTTCCCCAGACACTCTCCCTTTCCCATTCTTTTTTTTTTTTTTTTTTGAGTTGGAGTCTCGCTTTGCCACCCAGTCTGGAGTGCAGCGGCGCGATCTCAGCTCACTGCACCCTCCACCTCCTGGGTTCAAGCGATTCTCCTGCCTCAGCCTCCCAAGTAGCTGGGATTACAGGCACACACCACCATGCCTGGCTAATTTTTGTATTTTTAGTAGAGATGGGGTTACACCATGTTGGCCAGGCTGGTCTCAAATGCCCGACTTCAGGTGATCCACCCGCCTCGAGCTCCCAAAGTGCTGGGATTACAGGCGTGAGCCATCGCGCCTGCCTTTACTTTCCCATTCTTAACGCCTCCCGTTTCAGACCTGTCCCCTTTTCCCCGCATTTCTGACTGTCACGGCACATCACAACCAGCAGACAGGGCTTCCCCTATTTCACAGGAGAAATAGAAGCCATCAGATGGGACCTCCTTCAAAGTCCTGCCACCAAACCTCAGCATGTACCTGGACCCACATGTATCCTCTTTTCCTTTGGGATTGAATTAGAGAGGTGCCGCTCGAAACCCGCTCCTGGGTGGGAGTCTTGGCTCTATCAGTTATGCCTCTATTCTGTATGTTTAACCTCGCCCTCGTAGGGGCATAAAACAGCATTTAAACAGGATCAAGCTTTCCATTTTAAAACTCCATACACTCCCTTAATTTCATCTCCTCCTCCACCTACTGCCCCATGTCTCTCCCTCTTCCTGGCTAAACGTCTCAAAAAAGTGGATACACTTTCTGTCAACTCCTAAACACTCCTCACGCTCATTTGGCCTCTGCTCCTCCCTTCCTCCTCCCACTTCATTGGAACTACTTCTGCCAAAGAGGATCCCTGAGTCAGCCTGACTGGTAACCCCAATGGACTCTACTCAATATGCAACATCCTTCACTTCTTAGCAGAGTTTGAAACAGCCTGACTCTCCTCTTCTGGCAACATTCTTTTCCTTGGTTTGGGGACGCTGTACTGTTCTGGTTTTGCCCCTCCCTCCGAGCATTCCTTGTGTTTGTCCTGGCCCATTTTCTCCTCTCATTCTACATCCTCTCCCCGGGGATTTTAGCTTCTCTCACGGCTCAGGTTACCATCTCCATAGTGATGACTATCAAATTCTGTACCTCATTTCCAGAGGCTCCTGACAGACTTGCTTGGTCAATATACTACTGGACATATTCATGAGACTGTCTCACACAGGCATCTCGAACCCAGTGTGTCCCACAATTCTCTTCCTATCCATGCCTGTTCCTCTTCCACTGCCTCATATGTCGGTGACTGTCCACCTTCTCTCTCTCTCCCCCTCTCCGTTTGGCTCATAGGAAAAGTGTCACCAAGGGCTGTAAGTGCAGATTTCTAATTATCCCCTAAATTTGAACATTTTTCCTCTCGAAAGTGTATGGCCATTACCCTATTACAGATCAACATCTTCAATCACTGGAATGATGGCAATAATCTAATTGGGTTCATTTTATCCTCTATCTAACAATGACAACTCATTGCCTACACAGCAGGTAGAAGGAGTTTGTTTTCAGAATTGCCCTCTGACCTATTTAAGACGCTCAGATATTCCCTGAGGCTCCTTGGCCTGGCCACAAAGGCCCTACACATTCTGGCTGCTTCCTCCTTTCCAGCATCCTCTCTCACGTCTCCTCTCCTCAGTTCCACCCTCAGGAGGCACCAGAATTCCTCACTTCTTTGACTACAAGGCACCGTCTTACTCCCAAGACCAGTGAATCCGAAGGTGGACCACCAGCTGAGGGACTAGATTCCAGACTGAATAGAACAACTTTCCCTGTCTCTCCACATAAAGTGTGTTTGTTTTTCCTCTTACAGGTTTCCTTAATGACAACAAAAAAGGGAGTAATCCTACCCACTGTAAGAGTCATGACTCTTGATTGCAGCTGACAGAAACTCATGACAGCCTGCTTTAGATGAAGGGGGAGAGAAGGACTGGAAGAATCTTGGAGTTGGGAATGTCACACGTAATTGAAGGAAGAACAAGAAAACTATAGTAAAGAACCCTGGGGTGGTGATGTAGTCATGGGCCAAGTGTCCTGGAACCCTGGGGTGGTGATGTAGTTGTGGGCCAAGTGTCCTGGAACCCTGGGGTGGTGATGTAGTCATGGGCCAAGTGTCCTGGAACCCTGGGGTGGTGATGTAGTTGTGGGCCAAGTGTCCTGGGTTTTGGGTGGAGAAAGAGTCCCCTAGATAAGTTATTAGGTGGGTGCAAAGGTAATTGCAGTTTTTCCCATTATTTTAATTGCGAAAACAGCAATTACCTTTGCACCAACCTGATGGAGTCCCCCTTGCCATGCTTCTCTCTGTGAAAAACCCCAAGCCGAAGTCAGCATAACATCCACAGGACTCTATGTTTGCAAAAGCCAGCTTAGCTATATTACATGTATAAGCACATTTTTTCAATAAGTCAGCCTTAGCTTACTGTAACTTTTTAACTTTATAAACTTAGTATTTTAACTTTTTAAACTTTTTTGTTGAAAACTAAGACACAAAAACACATGTTAGCCTAGATCCACACAGGGTCAGGGTCATCAGTATCACTGTCTTCCACCTCCACATTTTGTCTCTCTGGAAGGTCTTCAGGGGCAATAACACACATGGAGCTGTCATCGCCTGTGGTAACAATGCCTTCTACAGTACTTCCCAAAGGGCCTGCTAGTTCACTTAATTCTTTTATAGAGAGAAGGAGTACACTCTAAAACACTGATCAATAGTATATTATAGTAAATACATAAACCAGGAACACATTTATTATCATTATCACGTATTGTGTATTGTACAGAATGGTGTGTGCTGTGCTATCCAGGAACACATTTATTATCATTATCAAGTATTGTGTACTGTACAGAATGGTGTGCGCTGTGCTTTTATGCAAGTGGCAGCACAGTAGCTTTACACGAGCATCACTAGACACATGAGTAGCATTGCACTCGGCAACAGGAATTTTTTCAGGCCCATTATTATAATCTTATGGGACCGCATCCTATATGCAGTTTGTCATTGACCAAAATGTCCTTATGCGATGCATGACTATATTTGCAAAGGACTAGTATCTAGAATACATTTAAAAGTCTTAAAATAGTAACAAAACAAAGAATGCAATTAGAACATGAGCAAAAGATACAAAGCAACATTTCACTGGAGAAGATATACAGATTGCAAATAAGCACATGAAAAGATGTTTGATACCATTAGGGAAACGCTTCTTTAAACCAGGAGATATCACCACGTGTTAGAATCAACAAAATAAGGCCAGGCATGGTGGCTCACACCTGTAATCCCAACACTTTGGGAGGCTGGGGCAGGCAGATCACATGAGATCAGGAATTCAAGACCAACCTGGCCAACATGGCAAAACCCTGTCTCTGCTGAAAACACAAAAATTAGCCAGGTGTGGTGGCACACGCCTGTAGTCCTAGCACCTTGGGAGGCTGAGGCAAGATAATTGCTTAAACCCAGGAGACGGAGGTTGCAGTAAGCTGAGATCATGCCACTGCGCTCCAGCCTGGGCGACAGAGCAAGATTATGTCTCAAAAAAAAAAAAAAAAAAAAGAATCACCAAAATAAAAAATAGTAACAATACTATTGTCAAGGATGCAAAGGAACTGTACCACTCAATCACTGCTGTGAGAATTTAAAGTGGTGCAGCCACTCTGGGAAACAGCTTGGCTGTTTTTTTTTATGACTGAATGTGCAACTACTATATGATGCAGTAATTTCATTTTTGCACATTTATCCCGGAGAAATGAAAACATATATTCACACAAAACCTGTATATGAATGCTAATAAAAGTCAATTGGCCAGGTGTGGTGGCTCATGCCTGTAATCCCAGCACTTTGGGAGGCTGAGGCAGTGGATCACCTGAGGTCAGGAGTTTGAGACCAGCCTGGCCAACGTGGTGAAAACTCGTCTCTACTAAAAATACAGCAATTAGCTGGGTGTAATAGTAGCCACCTGTAATCCCAGCTACTGGGGAGGCTGAAGCAGAAGAACCTCTTGAACCCGGGAGGCAGAGGTTGCAGTGAGCTGAGATCGTACCACTGCACTCCAGCCTGGGCGATAGAGTGAGACTCTGTCTCAAAAAATAAAATAAAATAAATAAAAAGATTAGATAATCTGCAAAGTTCCTGTGAGCGCTGTCATTTTGTCACTCTGGTTTTTCAGATTCTTCCCCTGGAGGCTGGAGTTTCCAGGATGTCAAAATTACCTCTGCTTGGGTGAGCTATTTCAAGCAGCTGGGATACCTGTGTCACTCCTGCTGTCTGCCAGTGACTGCCCAGGTGTCTGCTGGTTCCTCCCCAGGAGTAGGGAGGAACCAGGTGGGCTGGCTGGGATGGGTGGATATTTAAAGACCAGGCCTTGGACGCTGCAGCACTTCTATCTCTGCTTGATGCCTGCTGCCACGTGGCTGGTCCTCCTCCTCCTGCTGTGGCTGAGCCTTGGGGTGAAGACAGGTGAGGAGCTAGGCTGGCATCTGTGCTACAGGTCAAAGAGACCCCAATCTCTGCTCTCTCATTCATTCAATCAATTAATCTGTTTTGTCTCTGGCATGACCCACCTCCTGTGACCCAGCATTCATTAATTCATTAATCAAATAATTCATGTATTCAGACACTTATTAAGTACCGACTATATGGTTGATGTGGCTTCTTTGTGTATCCAGTTTTATATCTGGATAAGATGTCTTTGGATGATCAGCTTGGGAGGGTCTAGTATCCAGAGGATGCTCCCTCGGATAGAGGCAGCGTGGGCACTGTGGGTGGCTGGGGTGGACGGGACAGGAGGGAAGGTAGGTGTGATAAACCCAGATCCAGATTAACAGGCAGACTCACTGGGCAATTTCCAGGCACCAGTCTACTGGGTTTATTCAAACATCCCTGGAAATACAACAGGGTGAATACAGTTGCATTTACTAGAACTTCTCTCTCTCTCTCCTCTCTCTCTCTTTTTAATTTTTTTTTTTCCAGACAGAGTCTGCTCTGTCCCCCGCCAGGCTGGAGTGCAGTGGTACGATCTCGGCTCACTGCAACCTCCACCTTCTGGGTTCAAGCCATTCTCCTGCCTCAGCCTCCCGAGTAGCTGGGATTATAGGCATGCACCACCATGCCTGGCTAATTTTTGGCATTTTAAATAGAGACAGGGTTTCGCCATGTTAGCCAGGCTAGTCTTGAACTTCTGACTTCAGGTGATCTGCCCACCTCCGCCTCCCAAAGTGTTGGGATTACAGGTGTGAGCCACCGTGCCTGGCCCTAGAACTTCTCTTGGGAGAAAACTAGATGTCATTGGTAGGAACACAGTCAGCTGTTGCTTAATGATGGAGACACATTCTGAGAAATGCATCATCAGATGATTTCTTTGTTGTATGAATATCATAGAGTTCACACAACAATGAAATCGAGAGTTTACATAAACCTAGATGGTTTATATATATATTTATTTACATGTTTGTTTTCCACATGGAAAGCCACATGTCCCAGCACATGTCCCATTACTGAACATCAGTCATTTCCCCTGCTTGATCCTCAAGGCCAATATCGAGCACCATATATCGGGTTTCTGCATATGCCCTATTATAATCTTATGGGGCCACCGTCATATATATGGTCCATCATCGGTCTAAACATCGTGATGTGGCACAAGGCTGTACTTCTTGGCTGGGTGCGGTGGCTCACGCCTGTAATCCCAGCACTTTGAGAGGCCGAGACGGGTGGATCACTTGAGGTCAGGAGTTCAAGACCAGCCTGGGTAACATGGTGAAATACCATCGCTATTAAAATACAAAAATTAGCCAGGTGTGGTGGTGGGTGCCTGTAATCCCAGCTACTTGGGAGGCTGAGGCAGGAGAATCACTTGAACCTGGGAGACAGAGGTTGCAGTGACCCGAGATTGCGCCACTGCGCTCTAGCCTGGGTGACAGAGGGAGACTCCATCTCAGGAAAAAAAAAAAAAAAAAACCCAAAGCTATTTATTGTGGAAAAATTCAAACACATGCAAAAGTAAAGAGAATAGGATGATGAACCCAAGGTACCAGTTGGCCACCTTCAATATTATCAACATTATGCTCAAGCTCTTATCCCCCATATTTAAAAAATATAACCACAATACCTTATCAGAGCCAAAACAAATATGGTCGCACACCTGTAATCCCAACACTTTGAGAGACTGAGGCGGGCAGATCGCCTGAGGCCAGAAGTTCAAGACCAGCCTGGCCAACATGGTGAAACCCCTGTGTCTACTAAAAATACAAAAATTAGCTAGGCATGGTGGCGGGTACCTGTAATCCCAGCTACTCGGGAGGCTGAGGCAGGAGAATCACTTGAACCAGGGAGGTGGAGGTTGCAGTGAGCCGAGATTGCGCCACTGCACTCCAGCCTGGGCAACAGAGCAAGACTCTGTCTTTAAAAAAAAAATTAATTAATTAATTAATTTAAAAAACTACTTACTATCGTTTAATACCTATCAGTGTTCATATTTCCCCCACTTGTCAAAAATATCTTGTTATTCAGCAGCAAAGCAGAAGAGAAAAAGAAAAAATAAGATCAGATGTGGTGGCTGATGCCTGTAGTCCCAGCACTTTGGGAGGCCAAGGTGGGAGGATCACTGGAGCTCAGGAGTTTGAGACCAGCCTGGGTACAATAGCGAGACTCAGTCTCTACAAAAAAAAAATTTGTTTAAAAATTAGCAAGGTGTGTTGATGTTCACCTATAGTCCCAGCTATTCAGAAGGCTGAAGTGAGAAAATTGCTTGAGCCCCAGAAGTTGCGGCTGCAGCGAGCTGTGACCATACCACTGCATTCCAGTCTGCTGCACCGAGTGAGACCATGTCTCAAAAAAAAAAAAAAAAAAAAAAAAAAAAGAAAGAAAGAAAAATGCCTTTTTACAGCTGGTTTATTCAAGTCAAGATCCAAAAAAGATACGCACACATGTTTAACTAGCATATTTCTTAAATGTCTTTAAATCTATACCTAGATCAGTGCCATTTTTTCATGTCATTTAGCTGTTGAACGAACCAGGTACTGTGTCCTGCGGCATATCCTACCTTCTGGGTTTGACTGATTGAATCTTTGTGGATGTCCCTCTGCCTCTGTCTTTCCTGAACTCTGGTAGTTGAGATCAGGACTGGAGATTTCTTAGGCAGGAAGAATCCATAGGTGGGTACTTCCTATCGCACCTCGAAGGAGACACAAAGTGTCCAGCTGTCCCACTTTTACTGGTGTTAAACTTCATCCACCAGATAGTGCACCCATTATAAAATTCTGTCCACTAATGATTTGTGCTGAGATCCACTTCTCATTAGGGGCTGCCAAGTAGTGCTTTTCTATCATTCTTTCTGCACTTGTTAGCCGAAGGTTCTCTGTCGTGAAGATATTTCCCTTGTCAACTATTTGGCTTGGATGGAAAGGCTGGATCAATGTTTGATTCTTTATTTTTCATCTTCATAATAATGAGCTAGCTCCTCGGCACCCCGGGGGAAGTTGTCTTCAAATGCTGCCTTGAAGCATAGAATATTTAATTCTAATGGATATGGGAGGGAAGGGCCTTCCAAGCCGAGGGAAGAGCTTGAGCAAAGGCTCAGAGGCAGGAGAATGCAGGGTGTTTAGAGAACAGCAGAGCTCCGTAGCACGTGCAACAAGAGGCTTTTTGAGTGAGGACCCTGAGCACGATATGGTGGGAAAGCAGGGGAGAGGTCAGGATTGCTGGTTTGACTCCCAGCCATGGGCAAAAGGTTCTCCCCTTGTCTATACAATGAGGACATCTCTCTAGATCAGTGGCTTTCCAACGTTTCTGGCCCCAGTTCACTTTAATAAATACATTTTATACTCTGACCCAGTAAGTGCATCTGTGTGTATAAAAACCAACAGAAATTTCAAAAAGAACTCAGTTGACTTTTACATACAATGTATGTGGGTCTATTCTATTCTATTTCATTCAGTGTCATCCTGTTGAAATAAATGTTGGTTATGACCACTGAATTGAACTCAGTCTCACAGATTGTCGGCAACCTTAGTCTGGGTGGCTCCTGGGGCTCTATTTCCACTCCAGCCCTTTCTGGTTGATCCCTGGTCTTGGTGACAACCTGACGCAGCACCAGGCTCTGGAGAAGAGGGACAACATGAGAAGAGAAGCTGATCACTTGCAGGAGGCTCCTGAGCTGAACATGAGGCAAAAGCCAGGCCAAACTCAGAGGCTGTGGCCCCAGCCAGGCCACCCTCACCTTCAGAGTCTTGACCCCCCAGACCACACTACCGGACACCTGCTGGCCCTGTTTCCACAACAGACTGGCTCAGCCACACCCAGGCCCACAGGGCTCAGAGGCCTGCTCCCTGTTGATCGTGTCAACTTTGAAAGGCCTTCAAGTTTATCCCTAAACAAAGCCCTCCAGTTTAGCCCTAAAGAGCCAGGTGTTAACCTAACAGGAAGCAATTTGGAAGGTCAAAGTCAAGTAGACGGAGAAGAGTGTTGAGAGTCCTGGGGTGACAACACCTGGGTCCCCTGCTCACCTGAGCCACAGACTCGCCAGGTAACTGGGCCAGCGTCCCTCCTGCCCACGCCTTGCTTGCCGCACTCTTAAAGAAGATGCATCCCCTTCTCTTGGAGGGAATGACAATGACCAGATCACAACTGAGCTGAGCAATTTGGGGAAATTTGGGCAGGGGGTAGAGTTGGCAGAACTGGTTTGTAAACAGGGCTCTGGAAGACCTTCCTCTAACTGTGGGGAGTGGGGGAGGGGTTTCTCTCCCTCTTAGGCACTCTCTTCTCTGCTGTTTTCTCTATTTCTCTCTTCGCTGTCACTCCCATTACCGTCCTCATCTTATCTCCCCCTTTTCTCTCCTTCTCTCTCTCTCTGTTTAATAACAGCTTTATTGAGAGATAATTTACAGGATGTGAGATTTACCCTTTTGTACAATTCACCATGTGTACATTTCAGTGTTGTTCAGTGTATTCACAGGGTTGCAGAACCATCACTGCTGTCTTATTTTATTTTTTTGGCACTTTTTGGTAGAGACAGGGTTTTGCCACGTTGGCCAGGCTAGTCTCAAACTCCTGACCTCAAATGATCTGCCCGCCTCGGCCTCCCAAAGTGCTGGGATTACAGGTGTGAGCCACTGCGCCTGGCCACCTCTGTCTAATTTCAGAACATGTTTGTTATGCCCCAAATAAACTCTGACCCATCAGCAGTCACTGCCTGGTCCACACATCTCACCAGCCCCTGGCAACCACTAATATACTTTCTGTCTTGATGGATTTGTCTATTCTAAACATTTCATATAAATGGAATCATACAATACACGGCCTTTTGTGAGTGGCTTCTTTCACTTAGCATGTTTTCAAGTTTCATTGTTGTTGTGGCATGCATCTGTACTTCATTCCTTTTTATGGCTGAGTAATATCCCATTATATGGATATACCAGATTTAGTTTTAGCCATTCATCAGTTGAAGGGCATTTGAATTGTTTCTACTATTTGGCTATTATGAATAACACTGCTATGAATATTCATTGATAGGTTTTTGTGTGAACATGTGTTTTTAATTCTCCTAACTACAGGCTCAGAAGTAGGGTTTCTGGGTCATATGGCAACTCTATGTTTACATTCTGAGAAACTGTCAAATTGTTTTTCTTTTTTTTCTTTTTTTTTTTTATTCTTTTCTGCTGCCACCTCATCTCCCCAAATTGATTTTCAAAGTGGCTGCACCATTTTGCAATTCCACCAGCAGTGTATGAGGGTTCCAATTTCTCCACACCCTCAGCAACACTTCAACACTTGCTTTTTTTTTTTTTTTTTTTGAGATGGGGTCTCGCTCTGTCGCCAGGCTGGAGTGCAGTGGCGTGATCTCAGCTCACTGCGACCTCTGCCTCCTGGGTTCAAGAGATTCTCGTGCCTCAGCCTCCTGAGTAGCTGGGACTACAGGTGCATGCCACCACACCCAGCTAATTTTTGTATTTTTAGTAGAGACGGGTTTCACTATGCTGGCCAGGATGGTCTCAAACTCCTGAACTCGTCATCCACCCATCTCAGTGTTCCCAAGTGCCGTGATTACAGGTGTGAGCCACCCCACCCAGCCAACACTTGCTGTTTTATTTTTTATCTTAGCCGTCCTACTGGATGTGGGGTGGTATCTCATTGTGGTTTGGATTTGCATTTCCTTATGATTAATGATGTTGAGTATCTTTCATGCTCACTGGCCACTTGTGTATCTTCTTTGGAGAAATGTCTATTTAAATCCTTTGTCCAGTTTTAAATTTGATTGACTTATTTTTATTTATTTATTTATTTTGGAGGCAGAGTCTTGCTCTGTTGCCCAGGCTGGAGTGCAGTTGTGCAATCTTGGCTCACTGCAACCTCCACCTCCTGGGTTCAAGCAATTCTCCTGCCTCAGCCTCCTGAGTAGCTGGGACTATAGGTGCATGCTACCAAGCCCAGCTAATTTTTGTGTTTTTAGTAGAGACGGGTTTCACCATGTTGGCCAGGCTGGTGTTGAACTCCTGGCCTCAAGTGATCTGCCTGCCTTGGTCTCCCAAAGTGCTGGGATTACAGGCATGAGCCACCGCACCCAGCCAGTTTCAGCTCTTACATTTAGGTCTATGGTCCATTTTGAGTTAATATTTGTATATGGTTTGAGGTAGGAGTCCAAATGCATTCTTTTGCATGTGCTTATCCAGTTGTCTAAGCACCATTTGTTAAATCTATCTTTTCTTTTCCTTTTTTTTTTTTTTTTTTTTTTTTTGAGACAGGGTCTTGCTCTGTCACCCAGGCTGAAGTGCGCTGGTGTGATCATGGCTCACTTCAGCTTCCTGCGTCTGGGCTCAAGTGATCTCCTGTCTCAGCCTCCTGGGTAGCTGGGACTACAGGCGTGCACCACCATACCTGGCTAATTTTAATCTTTTTTTTTTTTTTTAATGTTCCTTTTTCTCCAGGCAGCTGCTCCCAACCCCAGAACCTTTGCTGTCTTGGGACGGATCACCGCTGCAAGAGGGGAAGTTGCTACTGTGATGAATTCTGCCATGTGGCACCAGACTGCCACCCAGACCACAGTGTCCTCTGCAACCCTGGTAACTCACATACAGGCCCGATTCCACCTACAGCAAAGCTGGATGCGATGGCTGGCAGAGGCAAACCCTTTGCCTGCACTTCAGGCCAAAGCCGGGATGTGGCCTAGATGGTTCCTAAGGTCCCTGACAATCCTGAGATCTTGCATCTTGTCTATTTCAGGTCAAAGGTGCCTACATGCTCCTTCTAGCTTTGTTTCCCTGATGTTCCTTGCCACCTGCTACTCCTCTCTGAGCTACTTTTCCAGGTTCCACAGGGAGAGGTTCAGCTGTCCGTGGTAGACATGAGGGTAGAGAATGAGGTGGTTGGGTTCCACTTACCTTTCTATCATCTTGCAGTATGGATGTCTCTTGACTGGTACCGTGTAGACTTTTGAGGGCACACAGGAGTCTGCAGAGAGATACTGGGGACATTGAGCAGCAGCAGTGGGGTTGGGAGGCAGAAATGAGGACAGGAACATTTACCTTGTGTTTCTCTCAGCTTCTCAGATGACCAAGATGGTGCTGCAGATGGTGCTGAGGATGGAGAACCCACCAAGCCCCGCTAGGAGCCACCTAGACTGGATGCAGAGCATGGTGAGCTCCCTGCAGGTTCTCTGAGAAGGGGTGGATGGCAGCCTGCTCCTTGCCTTTGTGCCCTCCAGGCCCCAAAGTCAGGGAACCAAAAGAAGAAAGGGGCCGTAGCTAGGGCAGAGCTCCACTGCAATGATTGTTTTAGGGGTAGGAGCCAGGATTGCCGTCTGTGGACACTGAAATTTGAATCTCATATACTTTTGTGACAAAACATTCTTCCTCTTTTGTTCTTCTCCTACCATCTAAAAATGTAGAAAACATTCTTAGCCTATGAGTTGCACAAAAACAGGCAGTGGCCAGATTTGGCCCATAGACCATAGTTTGCTGACTTCTGCCCTAAATCATCCTCCATTTCTTTCCTTCTGTGTCCTTGTTACTGACAAAGCCACTTTCCCTAAAATGGGGTCTTTCCCTGTTTGGTGCCATGAAGCCAATATGCAAAACCGAAAGTGAGCCTCAAGCAGTGCAGGCTTTATTTGGTGGCCATGGAATTGAGAAGTGAGAGCTTGGCTCACAAATCAACTTTTCTGCTCGTGAGACCCAGGAAGTCACAGATACAGGGCATCTTTAGTGAAGGGGCTGAGCATTAAAAGCAAGGGGAGGAGTGGCCAGGTGCAATGGCTCACTCCCATAAACCCAGAACTTTGGGAGGCCAAAATGAGAGGATTGCTGAGACCAGGAGTTCGAGACCATCCTGGTCAACATAGTGATACACCCCCATCTCTACAAAAATAAAAATGAAAAAAGCAAGGGGAGGAATCATGTGTTTTCTGGGTCTGGGTGGAGAAATTTTCAAAACCAGAGTGCCACCTTCCTATTTGTTTTTTTATGTTATTTTTTCCCATCATTGTCATGTTGGTTGTTGACTGTTACGGTGTTAGTGGGACTGTCATTTAACATGGAAATTAGATTATAATGAAGTTAGAGGTCAAATGAGCTGCCATCTTGGATTCCATCAGTCTTAGCTGGTTTGATCACCAGGGAGAAGTTTGGACCTCAGGCATCCTGCTTCCTAAAGATAAACAGTGTTAAGGCAGGGTAGATATTCACGGAGGTCATGTGGGTATTGCACTGGATGACATCTTGGCTTCAGCCCTGATCTGTTCAGAGCCCTCAGCACGGTACTGGAGGAGAGGCCTTGGGCCGCATCGTGGCATATTGTGGCTTTGGGGAGAAAGAAAAGCAGATAGTGCAATGGAAAGAGCGTGGACTTGAGAGTCAGACTTGACTTCAACTCCTAGCTCTACCACTTACCACCTAGGTGACCTCAAGCCACTTTCTCAGCCTTTCTGAGACTCTGTATCCTCATGTGTATCCTAGAGTTTGTCTGATAGGGCTATAGTGAGAATTAATTGAATTAAGTATAGTGAGAATTAAGCCAGGTCTGGAGAGGCCTGGCTACTGGTGAGTGAGGTAACTGAGATCAGGTATGGAGAGGACTGGCTCCTGGTGAGTGAGTTAATTGAGATGAGATGTGGAGGGACCTGTCTCCTGGTGAGTGAGTTAATTGAGATGAGGTGTGGAGGGACCTGGCTCCTGGTGAGTGAGTTAATTGAGATCAGGTGTGGAGGGACCCGGCTCCTGGTGAGTGAGTGAATTGAGATGAGGTGTGGAGGGACCTGTCTCCTGGTGAGTGAGTGAATTGAGATCAGGTATGGAGGGACCTGTCTCCTGGTGAGTGAGTGAATTGAGATGAGGTGTGGAGGGACCTGTCTCCTGGTGAGTGAGTTAATTGAGACCCGGTATGGAGGGACCTGGCTCCTGGCAAGTGAGTTAATTGAGACTCGGTGTGGAGGGACTTGGCTCCTGGTGAGTGAGTTAATTGAGATGAGGTATGGAGGGACCTGTCTCCTGGTGAGTGAGTGAATTGAGATGAGGTATGGAGGGACCTGGCTCCTGGTGAGTGAGTGAATTGAGATCAGGTATGGAGGGACTTGGCTCCTGGTGAGTGAGTTAATTGAGATGAGGTATGGAGGGACCTGGCTCCTGGTGAGTGAGTTAATTGAGATGAGGTGTGGAGGGACCTGGCGCCTGGTGAGTGAGTGAATTGAGACCCGGTGTGGAGGGACCTGGCTCCTGGTGAGTGAGTTAATTGAGATGATGTATGGAGGGACCTGGCTCCTGGTGAGTGAGTTAATTGAGATGAGGTGTGGAGGGACCTGGCGCCTGGTGAGTGAGTGAATTGAGACCCGGTGTGGAGGGACCTGGCTCCTGGTGAGTGAGTTAATTGAGATGATGTATGGAGGGACCTGTCTCCTGGTGAGTGAGTTAATTGAGATGAGGTGTGGAGGGACCTGGCTCCTGGTGAGTGAGTTAATTGAGATGAGGTATGGAGGGAACTGGCTCCTGGCGAGTGAGTGAATTGAGACCCGGTGTGGAGGGACCTGGCTCCTGGTGAGTGAGTTAATTGAGATGAGGTGTGGAGGGACCTGGCTCCTGGTGAATGAGTTAATTGAGATGAGGTGTGGAGGGACCTGGCTGCTGGTGAGTGAGGTATGGAGGGACCTGGCTCCTGGTGAGTGAGTTAATTGAGGTCAGGTATGGAGGGACCTGGCTCCTGGTGAGTGAGTTAATTGAGGTCAGGTATGGAGGGACCTGGCTCCTGGTGAGTGAGTTAATTGAGATCAGGTATGGAGGGACCTGGCTCCTGGTGAGTCTCCTGGAGGCAGCTGCTATCTGGGAACACAGGCACAGGTGGGAACAGACCTTCACTTCCTGCTCACTTAGGTTCAGCGAGTTCTCCAAACCAGCCTCCCAGGAATGCCATTCACCATGGCTGTGAGGAGAATAAAGAAGAGAGCCTGACTCCTCTTCTGAGGCCCCTTCCCCACCCTGAGCCAGCAGGATCCACGGAGCAGAGGTCATCTGTCCCCAGCTTGGCCCACTGAGGCCAGCATGGCTGGGCCCAGGATGCTTGTCTCTCAGCTCCCATCCTGTGTACTTCCACATTGGTTTAACCAGAGGAAAACTGAAATGTACAATTGTCATAAACACATTTAAATGTGCGTAGAATCAGCCATACAAATTGTGAAACATACATTTGGCTCATGGTATTATTCACTGTTTTGTGGTGGTTACAGTGACTATAGCAAACATTTCTTGAAAGTAGAAAATAAGAACCCAGCACCCCTTTAGCTAAGTAATGTGCCCTCTGTCCTCAATATTCCTTCCTGGGCTCCACATTACTGCCCTTAAGTCTGGAAATATTCTGGTCTGAGCCCTGTAGTCCAGGCCTCATGTTCAGGCTTTCTGTCCCCAGTGATGAGAGGAGAGACGGCAGACCTTTCTCCGGTGAGCTCAGATGGGCCTCCCGGAGTCTCCCGGGGTGCACAGGATTTCAAAGATCCAGGAGGCGCTGCCAGGGGCTGTGGGGTCTGATGAACCTCTCACCTTCCCTCCCACACCTGCCGTTTTCCTGTTTCTGTGGATGCTTTTGCTGTCCTTGGCTTCCTGGACTCCAGACCTCAGGGTCATCTTTTGCTTCTCTCTGCAAGGTGCCAAGTCTCTCTAGTTTTTTGTTTGTTTGTTTTGTTATTGAGACGGAGTCTCACTCTATTGCCCAGGCTGGAGTGCAGTGGTGCGATCTCAGCTCACTGCAACTTCCGACTCCCTGGTTCAAGCAAATTCTCCTGCCTCAGCCTCTGGAGTAGCTGGGATTACAGGCGCCCGCCACCACGCCTGGCTATTTTTTTTTTTTTTTTTAGTAGAGATAGGGTTTCACCATGTTGGCCAGGCTGGTCTCGATCTCCTGACCTCATGATCCACCCGCCTTGGCCTCCCAAAGTGCTGGGATTACAGGAGTGAGCCACTGTGCCCGGCCGTCTCTCTAGTTTTACTTTGCAATGTCGTTCATATCCATCCCCTTTCTAGTGCCACTGCTGAAGTCCTAAGTCACTGCCTCCTAACTGGTCCTCCTACCCTAACTCCTCCCAGACAGGCCTCCTGCCCTAACTCCTCTCTGACCAGTCCTCCTGCCCTGACTTCTCCCTGACCGGTCCTCCTGCCCTAACTCTCTTCCCTGATCGGTCCTCCTGCCCTAACTCCTCCCTGACCGATACTGCTGCCCTAACTCCTCCCTGACCGGTCCTCCTGCCCTAACTCCTCCGACCGGTCCTCCTCCCCTAACTCCTCCCTGACCGGTCCTCCTGCCCTAACTCCTCCCTGACCGATCCTCCTGCCCTAACTCCTCCCTGACCGGTCCTCCTCCCCTAACTCCTCCCTGACCGGTCCTCCTGCCCTAACTCCTCCCTGACCAGTCCTCCTGCCCTGACTTCTCCCTGACCGGTCCTCCTGCCCTAACTCCTCCCTGACCAGTCCTCCTGCCCTAACTCCTCCGACCGGTCCTCCTCCCCTAACTCCTCCCTGACCGGTCCTCCTGCCCTAACTCCTCCCTGACCAGTCCTCCTGCCCTAACTCCTCCCTGACCCGTCCTCCAGCCCTAACTCCTCCCTGACCAGTCCTCCTGCCCTAACTCCTCCCTGACCAGTCCTCCTGCCCTAAGTCTCCTCCCTGACCGGTCCTCCAGCCCTAACTCCTCCCTGACCTCCTGCCCTAAGTCTCCTCCCTGACCGGTCCTCCTGCCCTAACTCCTCCCTGACCAGTCCTCCTGCCCTAAGTCTCCTCCCTGACCAGTCCTCCTGCCCTAAGTCTCCTCCCTGACCAGTCCTCCTGCCCTAAGTCTCCTCCCTGACCAGTCCTCCTGCCCTAAGTCTCCTCCCTGACCAGTCCTCCTACCCTAAGTCTCCTCCCTGACCCGTCCTCCAGCCCTAACTCCTCCCTGACCAGTCCTCCTGCCCTAAGTCTCCTCCCTGACCGGTCCTCCAGCCCTAACTCCTCCCTGACCAGTCCTCCTGCCCTAAGTCTCCTCCCTGACCGGTCCTCCTGCCCTAAGTCTCCTCCCTGACCGGTCCTCCTGCCCTAAGTCTCCTCCCTGAGTGGTCCTCCTGCCCTAAGTCTCCTCCCTGACTGGTCCTCCTGCCCTAAGTCTCCTCCCTGACTGGTCCTCCTGCCCTAACTCCTCCCTGACTGGCCTCCATCCAAGCAGAGCTTGAGTATTGCTGGTTCCCTGCTCAAACCCACCACTGGTTGCTGGTTCCCTGCTCAAACCCACCACTGGCACTGGCTTCCCATCACATACAGAATAAAGGCTAAATGTCTACGCTTGGCACAGAAAGTCATCAACAGGCCCCAGGGCACGTTTCTGGTGTTATCTTCTGCTAATGCCCTGCCCTCACTCCTATGCTGCAGCTGAATGGAACGAGCCATTATCCCCTCAGGAACGCTGGCTTCTCAGTAAACGATTATAGCCCAGAAGCTCTGTCATCACAGAACCTAGCTATTGGCTAATGGGTCAGCTTTGGCTTCATTTCTCTGAATAATTTATTTCAAAACATAATCCCAAGGAACAAGGTTAGGAAAAGGGGAGGGTGACAGGGACAGAGGGAGAGCCTGTGCAAAGACGTGTTATCCAGTTGGCCCCTGCTGTGGCTGGCTGGTTGCTCAATCCTGTAAGATCTTCTAAGAAGCTTTATGAGATGTAGTGAGAACCATCTGTCCTGGGGATGAGTCTGTCTGTCGGCTTCCATTCCTCATGGGTTATGAGTTGCTCCACAGGATTCTGGATGTATACAGATGCTCTTCATCTTAGGAAGGGGTTACGTCCCAATAAACACGTGGTAAGTCAAAAATACTGTAAGTCAGAAACACATTTAATACCCTGATAAGCCCATCATAAAGTCAAACAATTTTAAATCCAATCATTGTAAGCCAGGACCATCTGTATACCCAAGACATATACAAGGATGTTCATAGCAGCTTTATTCAAAATAGTGAAAAACAAAACAATCCAAATGCACAGCAATTGGAAAACAGACAAATAAATTGTGGTATATTTATACAGTGGAATACTATGCAACAACAAAAAAGGATGAAGCATAATACTACACACAGCGTGAGTGAGTCTCACAGACACAGTGTTAACAGAGAGAATCCAGACACAAAAGAGCCTATCTATGCATGATTCCATTTATATGAAGTTCAAAGACATGCAGAGCTAATCTATGGTGATAGAGATAAGAATGGTGGTTACACTGAAATGGGAGGATCGCTCAAACCCAGGAGGCGGAGGCTGCAGTGAACCATGATGGAGCTGCACTCCAGCTTTGGAGACAGAGCGAGACCCTGTCTCTAAAAAAAAATAAATAAATAAAAATAAAAAAAAAAAAAAATGATTGTTCCATTCTGTGGTGGCAAGTGGGGGCTTGACTGGAAGGGAACACAAGGGCACCTGTTGAGGTGCTGAGCACGTTCTGTATCTTGACCTGAGTGTCGGATACATCCTGGGGATACATACGTACATAAAAATTCATCAGGGTATACGCTACTTAAGCTGGGCGTAGTTTACAGTATGTAGGTTACAACATAAAAAAGAAGTGAATGAACCAAAGAATACTGGGCTCCCTGGCGTTTCCTCTTCTGCAACCCAAGGAAATAAGCCTCGGTGTGGAGAGGGCCTGTCCTCAGGGCCTGGCAAATGTAGGCGATTCTTACCACGTCTCCTTCGGTAAGCCCACCTGGCAAGTTCTCATCCACATAATCTGTGCATGCTCAACATTTGAAACCAGTGGGGACCCATTTGGACCCCAAGAGTTGGTATTAGAGATCATTTTAAAGTGAAAACTGGCCAGGCACGATGGCTTACGCCTGTAATCCCAGCACTTTGGGAAGCTGAGGTGGGCGGATCACATGAGGTCAGGAGTTCGAGACCAACTTGGCCAACATGGTGAAACCCTGTTGACTCAGGATGACTCAGATTAGAGCAGGTGACTGGGGGTGACTCAGGATGGAGCAGGTGATAGAGGCTAGGAGGGGGTTGTTTACTGAAACTAGGGGCAAGGAGATGAAGAAAACGAGGAAGTTAAACTTTAAAATGAAGAGCTGAACATACTGATACATTGATTCTTTGGAGAGGATCTCAGAACTCATTGTACTTAACAATTTACAGGCTAAAACCTTTGAAGAAGAATTTATTATATCCTACAAACCTGGGAGGCAGAGGTTGCAGTGAGCCAAGATTGGGCCATCGCACTCCAGCCTGGGCAATAAGAATGAAACTCTGTCTCAAAAAAAACAAAAGTTGGCCAGGGCTGGGCGTGGTGGCTCACACCTGTAATCCCAGCACTTTGGGGGGCTAAAGCAGGTGGATCACCTGAGGTCAGAAGTACGAGACCATCATGGCTAATATGGTGAAACCCCATCTCTACTAAAAATACGAAAAAAGAAAAAAAAAATTAGCCAAGCACGGTGGTGCACACCTGTTATCCCAGCTGCTTAGGAAGCTGAGGCAGGAGAATTGCCTGATCCCAGAGGCAGAGGTTGCAGTGAACTGGGATTGTGCCACTGCACTCCAGCCCAGGCGACAGAGCAAGATTCTGTCTCAAAAATAAATACATAAATAAAGTTTTAGAGCAGGAATGAAAGGAAGTAAAGTACACTTGGAAGAGCTGTGTTGGCAACTGGAGAGATCCGAGTGCCTCATCTGACCCTTGACTTGGGATTAATACATTGGCATGAGATGTGAGCAGTGACTCAAAGTTGCTCAGAAAAAAATCTTCCCCCGCTATTTAGTACTGCAGCTGGCACCTGCCCTCCCCACACACTGCAGCTGGCACCTGCCCTCCCCACGCACTGCAGCTGGCACCTGCCCTCCCCACACCAGTATTTGGTACTGCAGCTGGCACCTGCCCTCCCCTCTGCTATTTAGTACTGCAGCTGGCACCTGCCCTCCGCACAGCAGTATTTAGTACTGCAGCTGGCACCTGCCCTCCCCACACCAGTATTTAGTACTGCAGTTGGTACCTGCCCTCCCCTCTGCTATTTAGTACTGCAGCTGGCACCTGCCCTCCCCACGTCAGTGTTCAGGATTCTTTCTCCCTGTTTTTCTTTTTTTCCCATAGTTTTCACCTTTCTATAATTCACTTATTTGTTATGTTTATTGTTTTGTGAAAGGAAAATAAATCTTGGGCCCCCAAAGTCACTAAGCTAAAGGGGAAAGTCAAGCCGGGAATGGCTTAGGGCCGACCTGCCCCCCATTCTATTGAAAATCACCCCCTGCTCACTGAGATAGATGCATATCTGATTGCCTTCTTTGGAAAGGCCCATCAGAAACTCAAAAGAATGCGACCTTTGTCTCTCACCCACCTGTGACCTGGAAGCTTTCTCCTGGCTGCGAGTTGTCCCACGTTTGCTTGGCGTTGCCCGGCCTTTTCCAGACTGAACCAATGTTCATCTTACATGTGTTGATTGATGTCTCATGTCTCCCTAAAACGTATGACCACCTTGGCACATGTCGTCAGGACATCCTGAGGCTGTGTCACGGGTGTGCATCTTCAACCTTGGAACAATAAACTTTCTAAATTAACTGAGACCTGTCTCAGATTTGGGGGGTTCACATTTTGGTAACCATGGAGGGATTCTGAGTTGAGGTGCCCCTGACCTTTGACAGATCTATTGGTGCTTGGTAGCAGCATGAGCTAACCTTATGGCTCAAACCAACAGGACAATTTGCTGAGGTCTGGGAGCACCCCCTCCAGAGAGTCCCTGATCTCTCAAAACTTGGTCGTGATCTAAAGTTTATTTGATGTACAACTCCCCCTCCCCTTCTTTTGGAGTTTTATTTGCTTCCAAGAAGGAAGGCAAGATTTCCTGGGTCCGTGATGATGGAAGGCTGACAACTCTTTTATGGAGTTTGAGCTTGCTCCCAGCAGGGAAGACAAGTTCGAGTTTTTTTCCTGCTTCAAGGATGGTAGAGAGCAGTCTTCAGCCTGAGACCCATCCCTAGGTAAGTAGCTGAACTGAGGTTTTGTCTTGGCTGAAGGTTAACAACCAGCTGGTCTGAATTTCTTCTTCCCATTAGAGCAGTCTGTGTTCATATCATTTGACTTCTGTTGTTGTTGTTTTTTCTGGTCTTTCTCTCATCAGATTTGACCAACTCTACCTGACTTGGTCAAATCCAAGTGAGAATTCCAAATTATGGGTAACAAAGCCTCTCTAATTTGGCTAAAATTCCTTGCAGCTGCAAAAGAGGAAAAAACTAAACGAAAAAAACCAACAAATCACGTGCTTGGTTTCTGTGTTTGCTTTCTGTCTTAAAAAACAAACAAACAAAAACAACAAATGCTCTTTCACTTACTTTTCTTCCTCCCTATACCTCCTCCTGCCTTTGCCATCTGCGGGACCAAAAAAATCTAGAGAAGGCTTCCAATGACTCGAGCCCCTTTAAAGGATCCGGAACAAAGGGGCCACTCACCCCTTCCAGGGTGCTCTGTTTTCTTTGTGGAGTTTCAAGAGTGATGGGCGGATTCTTCTTAGGTCTAAAGCTCTGCTGTCTTCCTGTACGGCATGACCTGACCTCTTTGGCTTTGGGGGAACCAGAGATGACCCTGCACTGTGAGAGGATTTGACCTTGGCGTGTGTAATGGCAGACGAGAACTACAAAGAAGGGGTGGCTGAGCACAGTTTACAGGGAATGGTCTTGGCTGTTTTTTTTTTTTTTTTTTTTCTCTTCTAGGAAGCTGTGATTTAAGGATCCTAATTCTAGTTCAGAGATGCATCCTAAAGGGTCTTCTCTATTGCTTTTTCTCCCAAAATGAATCTCAGTTTGGGTTGTCTATGTATTTGCATGAGGAACTGAACTGTTGTTGTCATAGGTAAATGAGAGATTGAGTTTTCTCAGCTCCAAAGAGAAAGGGCGTTTGCTCCTCCCAGCCGAGTACTCCATAGGGTTCATGGCGCCTCTACTTGCCAGAGTTTACGTAAAGTGGAAGTAATATGGTCTTTCTGCACATTTACATTAAAAAAAAAAGGAGCCCTGAGGTTGACCTGCAAACTGTAGAGTTCCTGAGTCCTCTTTTTTCTCTAGTTTCTTCTCTGCCTGCTTTAAATTTGCTGTTATTTTCCTATTAAGATAAAAAACACTGTTTGGATCAGATAGTTTTTCTGTTTGTAAACTGGTGAATTTGTATTTATTTCATGGCTAAATTTCTTTTTTTCTTTTCTTTCTCTTTTTTTTTTCTTTTTTTTTTGAGGCAGAGTTTCACTCTTGTTGCCCAGGCTGGAGTGCAATGGCGTGATCTTGGGTCACCACAGTCTCCGCTTCCCTGGTTCAAGTGATTCTCTTGCCTCAGCCTCCCGAGTAGCTGGGATTACAGGCATGCACCACCACGCCTGGCTAATTTTTTGTATTTTTAGTAGAGATGGGGTTTCTCCATGTTCGTCAGGCTGGTCTCCAACTCCTGACCTCAGGTGATCTGCCCGCCTCGGCCTCCCAAGGTGCTGGGATTACAGGCGTGAGCCACCGCGCCCAGCTTTCATGGCTAAATTTCTGAAGTAAAAGCTATAGGATCTTTGTGTGTGTGTATATATTTAAAAGGCCTTTATAATTTCTATAATTTTATGTTTAATTGGCAATTAAATCTGTTTTAATTTCCCTCCAGCACACCAGACTTTTTCTCTCCATACGTTATGATGTAAATTTTGCTATTCGATTTTCACCTCAGTTTCCTTAAAATGCAAATTCAAGGCTATTTAGCTGACAACCGCTTAGAGTAGTAAAACAGGTTATCAAGAATTCGAAGGTGTGGCTGGGCACGGTGGCTCACGTCTGTAATCCTAGCATTTGGGAGGCTGAGCCGCAAAGATCTCTTGAGGTCAGGAGTTCAAAACCATCTTGGCCAACATGTTGAAACCCCGTCTCTACTAAAAATACAAAAAAAATTAGCCAGGTGTGGTGGCAGGTGCCTATAATCCCAGCTACTCAGGAAGCTGAGGCAGGAGAATCACTTGAAGCCAGGAGGCAGAGGTTGCAGTGAGTCGAGATCAAGCCATTGCACTCCAGCCTGGGCAACAGAGTGAGACTCTGTCTCAAAAAAAAAAAAAAAAAGTAAAAAAGAATTTGAAGGTGTAAGAAAAAAGCTCTTTATGAATCTATAAGATGAACTTCTTTCAGCATACCTAATACATCTGTGTATTTATGTGTTGTTGTGTACACAGTGTTTTGCTACTGAAAATATATAAAAGAGCTCTAATTAATTGGCTTAAGAAAATAAAAGCACTTGGCTGGGTGCAGTGGCTCATGCCTGTACTCCCAGCACTTTGGGAGGCTGAGGTAGGTAGATCACCTGAGGTCAGGAGTTTGAGACTAGCCTGGCCAACATGGTGAAACCCCATCTCTACTAAAAATACAAAAATTAGCCGGACGTGGTGGTGCGCGCCTATAATCCCAGCTACTCCAGAGGCTGAGGCAGGAGAATTGTTGGATCCCGGGAGGAAGAGGTTTCATTGAGCTGAGATCTCATTACTGTACACTCCAGCCTGGGTGACAGAGCAAGACTCCATCTCAAAAAAAAAAAAAAAAAGCTAGTGATTCCATATCTTCAAATCAAATTTCAGTGGAGTGTTTACCGGGCAAGGAAGGCAGGGGGGTCAGCTTGCTGACAGCCTCAACCTGCCAGCCCTCAGCCTGCACATTTGTGATCACCTGGTCACACACCTGGGCAGGAGGCTGCCCCTCCCTGGTTTGAGGAAGCAGGAAAAGGTACCCGCGAGAGACAGCCAGCAGTTCTGTGGAGCAGCGGTGGCCGGCTAGGATGGGCTGTCTCTGGGGTCTGGCTCTGCCCCTTTTCTTCTGCTGGGAGGTTGGGGTCTCTGGGAGCTCTGCAGGTAAGGAGGCCTAGAAGGGCCTGGTGGGCCTCTCCCCTAGTAGGGCTCTGGGAGTGAATTTCAGTATGAGCCACCCTTCATGGGCAAGGGCAGGCTCTCTCGGGTTGATTATAATGAACCACAGTGCTACTTGTGAAGTGCTATTATTGTTGATAAAGAGTGTGCAAATGACAGTGTGAGTGAGTGTAAGCGTGCATGGCGCTGCAGTACACACTAATCAACCATGACGATGTGTGTGAGTGTAAGCGTGCCTGGCGATGCAGTACACACTAATCAAACATGACGCTGCCATCGTAAGGGGTGGCTGAGAGTTTCTGTTTATGAACGTGGGACAGTAAGTGGGGCACGGAGCGGGGGTGCAGGGAGGTGCCAGCTGGTGATCATTGTGCAGAAAGCTGAAGAATGTGGCTTAACAAGATTCTGACTCCTCCCAGTTTATTACCTAGCATGGATTTCCTTCAAAATACAGATTTCGTGTGAAAAGTCCAACTGCCACAAACTGCTTGGGAAGGGTGGATGCTGACAGGCAGGGCTTTTGTGAAAGACGGGAATGAACCCTGACCTGTCGCTAATAGGAGTTGTGCCAAACTCATCACATACATTAAAAAATAGAAAAGGATTTATTTTTTTTTTAGAGCAGTTCTATGCTCCCTCTAAACCTCGAGTGGAGAGGCCGGGCGTGGTGGCTCACACCTGTAATCCCAGCATTTTGGGAGGCTGAGGTGGGTGGATCACCTGAGGTCAGGAGTTCGAGACCAGCCTGACCAACATGGAGAAACCCCGTCTCTACTAAAAATACAAAATTAGCCGGGGGTGGTAGCAGGTGCCTGTAATCCCAGCTACTCGGGAGGCTGAGGCAGGAGAATTGCTTGAACCTGGGAGGTGGAGTTTGCAGTGAGCTGAGATCGCACCGTTGCGCTCTGGCCTGGGCAACAAAAGTGAAACTGTGTTTCAAAAAAAAAAAAAAGCTGCAGTGGAGAGTCTGGAGTTCCCATCCCCACCACTCACAGCCTCCCCCATCATCAGCGTCCCCCACCAGAGTGGCACATTTGATAGGACTGAGGAACCTACTTTGATGCATCATTATCATACATTGTATTTTTAATCCTCACAACGGCCCTGCAAGATCGGCCCTGTTCTTACCACCCCCCACCTCCACTGCTTTAAGGATGAGGCCACTGTGCTTCTGGGCATCCAGTAACAACTCCTCGGAGCCAGAATCTGACTCCTCACAGGCCTGAGCACTGCACCCCGTGGCCTCCTGCCTGTGCTCACCGTGGCCTGGTCTGCGCTGCACGTGTCCCGTTAGCTCCACCTTACAGGTGCGGAAATGCAGGCTTGGAGCTGAGAGACTTGGCCAGGGTCACAGGGCAGAGAGCAGATTCTCCAACTCAGGGTCCCAAGTCCACACGCTTTCCTCTCCACCAGATTTGAAGATTGTACCAGGAGAGCCGCAGTGTTCCAGAGCTACTGAGGGGGCTGGGCTGGGATTTGCTGTATTCGAGAAGACCCCCTTGGACCCGAGAGGCTGTGGGCTTGGGGAGCGAGGAGGTTTCACAGCAGAAAGGACACCCCGGGGCTCCTGGATAAGCCAGAAAATGTGCCAGGGGAAGTCGGGCTCCAAGGGCACCACTCTGGGCTTCCAGCTGTGTGGGCTGGACCAAGAAGGCTCAGAGAAATGATCTCAGGCTTGAAGTGGGGAGAAGAAACTGTATTATGAAGGCAGACGAACAGTTCCTGCAAAGGTGAGATTTGTGTGTGCAGCTGGGCCGCACTGGACCAGGGATGAGAGTGGGTGCCCGGGACTCGCCTATACTGCCTGGGGGTGCAGCCCGCACTCCTCACTATAGTCAAATCGACTATGCGTGCTTTCCAGGGGCCCGGGAGAGGACTCCATGGGGAGGGATGCTTACCTTGTGGGCTTTGGAATATAAGCCCTTTCATCTTCTCCGCTGGTCCTCACCACGTTGGCAAGGCAGGTATTGTGACCCTGTTTTCTCAGGTGAGGACATGGAGGCTGGGAGGGGTCTAGAGACTGGCCTGGCTAGTAGGAGGCTGAGTCAGGATTTGAACCAGCAGATCATCTGACCCCAGAGCCGGTCGTGGGCGGCACAGCGGGAGCTGCAACCGAGGCTCTTGACTCCTGCCTCGTCATTCCCTGAGGTCCACAGGACAACCAGCTGGGGACCTGGAGCCCCATCCTGACGTCCTGGGGAGAGGTGCTAGGCCTCTTTTGGGTCTATGAGCTACTTTTGGGCCAGTGGAGCCGGGTAAAGACCATCTCAAACCCTGTGCCAGGGGAGGTCAGACTCCAAGAGCGCCACCTTTGGGCTTCCAGCTGTGTGGGCTGCACCAAGAAGGCTCAGAGAATTAGGGGGTTCGTATTTGATCCTTTTCCTTCCAAGACTGGGATTACCAGATAAAACACAGGGCATCCAGTTACATTTGAATTTCAGGTAACAATTTTTTTTTAAGTGTAAGTACGTAGCCAATATTGCATGAGAAATACTCATGCTAAAAAGTTATTCGTCATTTATCTGAACTGCGAGTTCAAATTTAACCGAGTACCCTGTATTTTTATTTGCTAAATCTAGAAACCCTCTCCAAGAGGCTCCTTGGCCCACTCACAGGGAGAGCCCGATCTCCCTCTAGACAGGGGAGGCCCCCTTTCTCAGGCCAGAAAAGATCTTGTAGTAAACTACTCAAGAGGCTGAGGCAGGAGGATCGCTTGAGCCCAGGAATTCAAGACCTGCCTGGGCAACAGAGCAAGACCCTGTCTCTAGGGAAGATATCCTACCGTAGCCTCCCTCGGGGACTCCCATTCCTCCCACCTCAGGGCCAGTCAAGGGAACAGGCCTCTGCTCTGGGCAGAAGTGCCGGCAGCCGCTCTCTGAAAAGCTAGGTGTTGCCTCAGGGGCTCCCGGTGTCCTGTGGAAAATGCCTGGCCACGGTTTCCATGGTTCCCAGGCTCCAACCCTGCAGTTCTCGGCCCTCATTCAGGAGGGGCCTCGGCAGGGTGGGGGGTGCCGTCTTTCCCTTGCCGGAGCCCCAAGGACTCTGCCGGCTCCCTCGCTTTGGCAGCAGCACTGCCCACCCTGTCTCTGGAGGTTCCCCCGCCTCAATCCACCCAGCTACCCCGAAAGGCACAATCATAGGCCTTTCTCGTCTTTTAAGGGTTTTTACTTCCATGGGGAACTATGTGTTGGATGAGAAAAGTACCCGGGGAAGGCGACAGAGGTTCAGAAAGCTCTGCGAGTCCTGGACGCTGGTCTGCCTTCTTGGCTCACCCTGGAAGGTGGACGCTGGCCCCACACATCCCCTCTTAAAGACGCAGGCCGATAGCCAGCAGATCCTGGGGCTTGCTGGCCCCAAGTGAGTTGTCAGGGTTTCAGAGGACGCCAGTCATGGCAACCCCAGCTCCATGGCTGCCACACAGGCCTGGGCTTCCCAGGACTGCCTCCTTCTTGTTCGCTTATGTAGATGAAAAATGAGGTAACGGCACTCCCCTGCCCCACCCTCCTCCCAGAAGTGCCCAGGGTGTAAATGCAATAGCTTGTGTGAAGTCCACTGGAACCCAGGCTCACCAAGTCAGTCTTAACCAACACAGGCCCCAGCACCCGCAGAGCAGACACTGCGATGACAACGGACGACACAGAAGTGCCCGCTATGACTCTAGCACCGGGCCACGCCGCTCTGGAAACTCAAACGCTGAGCGCTGAGACCTCTTCTAGGGCCTCAACCCCAGCCGGCCCCATTCCAGAAGCAGAGACCAGGGGAGCCAAGAGAATTTCCCCTGCAAGAGAGACCAGGAGTTTCACAAAAACATCTCCCAACTTCATGGTGCTGATCGCCACCTCCGTGGAGACATCAGCCGCCAGTGGCAGCCCCGAGGGAGCTGGAATGACCACAGTTCAGACCATCACAGGCAGTGATCCCGAGGAAGCCATCTTTGACACCCTTTGCACCGATGACATCTCTGAAGAGGCAAAGACACTCACAATGGACATATTGACATTGGCTCACACCTCCACAGAAGCTAAGGGCCTGTCCTCAGAGAGCAGCGCCTCTTCCGACGGCCCCCATCCAGTCATCACCCCGTCACGGGCCTCAGAGAGCAGCGCCTCTTCCGACGGCCCCCATCCAGTCATCACCCCGTCACGGGCCTCAGAGAGCAGCGCCTCTTCCGACGGCCCCCATCCAGTCATCACCCCCTCATGGTCCCCGGGATCTGACGTCACTCTCCTCGCTGAAGCCCTGGTGACTGTCACAAACATCGAGGTTATTAATTGCAGCATCACAGAAACAACAACTTCCAGCATCCCTGGGGCCTCAGACATAGATCTCATCCCCACGGAAGGGGTGAAGGCCTCGTCCACCTCCGATCCACCAGCTCTGCCTGACTCCACTGAAGCAAAACCACACATCACTGAGGTCACAGCCTCTGCCGAGACCCTGTCCACAGCCGGCACCACAGAGTCAGCTGCACCTCATGCCACGGTTGGGACCCCACTCCCCACTAACAGCGCCACAGAAAGAGAAGTGACAGCACCCGGGGCCACGACCCTCAGTGGAGCTCTGGTCACAGTTAGCAGGAATCCCCTGGAAGAAACCTCAGCCCTCTCTGTTGAGACACCAAGTTACGTCAAAGTCTCAGGAGCAGCTCCGGTCTCCATAGAGGCTGGGTCAGCAGTGGGCAAAACAACTTCCTTTGCTGGGAGCTCTGCTTCCTCCTACAGCCCCTCGGAAGCCGCCCTCAAGAACTTCACCCCTTCAGAGACACCGACCATGGACATCGCAACCAAGGGGCCCTTCCCCACCAGCAGGGACCCTCTTCCTTCTGTCCCTCCGACTACAACCAACAGCAGCCGAGGGACGAACAGCACCTTAGCCAAGATCACAACCTCAGCGAAGACCACGATGAAGCCCCCAACAGCCACGCCCACGACTGCCCGGACGAGGCCGACCACAGACGTGAGTGCAGGTAAGTGGCTCCTGCTGGTGATCTTCGGGGATTTGGGATGCGGAGTTTCCAGGACGTCTCCGCACTTGAGGAGTGGAGAGGAGGGAAGGATCTGGAGCCTACTCAGAGCCTGCTCCTGATGTTGCCTCTTCGTGATCTTCTAGTGGTTCTTGGCGAAATCAGGAAAAGGCAGATGGAGGGTTGTGTATGGAAAGGGGTGGGGATGGAAGTCCGGAGAAATGGTTTGCGGTCTCGGCTCTGCCTGTAACAACCCGAGTGACCTTGGGCAAGTCCCTGTCCCTCTCTGGGCCTCAGTTTCTCCACCTGTATTTGGAGAGGGTTGGAATGGGCACTGAAGTCCTGTCCAGCTCTGACCTTCTGTGAAGTGCACTGTTGAGCAGCTCTGGAAGCTTCTATTCCAGCCATAGCCACACAGAGGAGCAGCAGGCAGGCATCAGGCCCAAGCTGCTGCTCTCTGACAGGCTGGGACCCCATGAAAGTGGGGCCTGCTGGATGCATTTCCTGGGATTTATGCCATAGATAGTGACTTAAAATAAATTAATACAGGCCTGGAGCGGTGGCTTATGCCTGTAATCCCAGCACTTTGGGAGGCAGAGGCCGGCGGATCACCTGAGGTCAGGAGTTCGAGACCAGGCTGACCAACATGGTGAAACCCCATCTCTACTAAAAATATGAAAATTAGCTGGGCGCAGTGGTGGGCGCCTGTAATCCCAGCTACTTGGGAGACTGAGGCAGGAGAATCACTTGAACCCGGGAGGTGGAGGTTACAGTGAGCTGAGACGGAGTGAAACTCCGTCTCAAAAAAAAAAGGTAAGATAAAATAAGCAAATACAGCGAAGGCTTGGGAGTTTAAAGCTACATCTCTGAGGCAACAGGGACTTCTCAGGGGAGAAGTTCATTGTCAGAGGCTGCTTGGTCAGTCCAGCTTCTGGTCAGCCTGTAGCCTCCACCTCCACTTCCTGTCACTCTGCCCTTGGGCCTCATCTCTGTGTATCCGCAGCTTGTTACCACCTTTCTGGGGGAGGTGGGAATACAAATATTAATCACAACCACTCAATACATAAAGATATTATTGAATATCTTTCATGTTATAGGCAGGGGTGATATAAACATGTTTCACACCCAGTAAGCACTGGCCCCAGCAGAACGTTCTCTCCGGTGCCAGGCAGTGTGCCACCAGCTTTGCATATGTTATCTGATGCCAGGCAGTGTGCCACCGGCTTTGTATATGTTATCTGATGCCAGGCAGTGTGCCACCGGCTTTGCATATGTTATCTGATGCCAGGCAGTATACCACCAGCTTTGCATATGTTATCTGATGCCAGGCAGTGTACCACCAGCTTTGCATATGTTATCTGATGCCAGGCAGTGTGCCACCAGCTTTGCATATGTTATGATGCCAGGCAGTGTGCCACCAGCTTTGCATATGTTATCTCCTCTATTTAACCTTCAAAACAGCCTTAGGAGGTGGGTAACACGACCCCATCTGACAGGGTTGAAGATGGTAGCTAAACTGCTCTGGAAAGTGAAGGGGTGGCCTGCCCCTCCACACCTGTGGGTATTTCTAGTCGGGTGGGATGAGAGACTGAGAAAAGAAATAAGGCACAGAGACAAAGTATAGAGAAACAACAGTGGGCCCAGGGGACCGGCGCTCAGCATACCAAGGACCTGCACCGGCACCAGTCTCTGAGTTTTCTCAGTTTTTATTGATTATTATTTTCATTATTTTAGCAAAAAGGAATGTAGTAGGAGAGCAGGGTGATAATAAGGAGAAGGTCAGCAAGAAACATGTGAGCAAAAGAATCTGTGTCATAATTAAGTTCAAGGGAAGATACTATGCCTGGATGTGCACGTAGGCCAGATTTATGTTTCTCTCCACCCAAACATCTCAGCAGAGTAAAGAATAATAAAGCAGCATTGCTGCAAACATGTCTCACCTCCCGCCACAGGGTGGTTTTTCTCCTGTCTCAGAATTGAACAAATGTACAATCGGGTTTTATACTGAGACATTCAGTTCCCAGGGGCAGGCAGGAGACAGTGGCCTTCCTCTAGCTCAACTGCAAGAGACTTTCCTCTTTTACTAATCCACCTCAGCACAGACCCTTTACGGGTGTCAGCCTGGGGGACGGTCAGGTCTTTGTCATCCCACGAGGCCATATTTCAGACTATCACATGGGGAGAAAGCTTGGACAATACCCTGCTTTCAAGGGCAGAGGTCCCTGCGGCTTTCCACAGTGCATTGTGCCCCTGGTTTATTGAGACTAGAGAATGGCGATGACTTTTACCAAGTATACTGCTTGTAAACATTTTGTTAACAAGGCACGTCCTGCACAGCCCTAGATCCCTTAAACCTTGATTTTATACAACACATGTTTTTATGAGCTCAAGGTTGGGGCAAAGTTACAAATTAACAACATCTCAGCAAAGCTTGTTTAAAGTACAGGTCTTTTTCAAAATGGAGTCTCATGTCTTTCCTTTCTACAGAGACACAGTGACAGTCTGATCGCTCCTTCTTTTCCCTGGAAAGAAAAATACTTTATTATTTGTTGATTAGATAAGACATTCATATGATTTGAAATGGAAAGGTACGAAAAGGTTCACCATAAAATGCCTTTCTCCCCTGGCTGTGCCCCCACCCAGTTCTCTCCACACATGTAACCCGTGAGATTGTCTCTTGTGTGTAATTTTCTGCACATGAAATGTACATACGGAAGCAAATATATGTGACTATTTCATCCTCCTCTTTTTTTTTTTTTTTTTTTTTGAGACAGTTTCGCTCTTGTTGCCCAGGTTGGAGTGTAGTGCTGCGATCTCAGATCACCACAACCTCCGCCTCCCAGGTTCAGGCGATTCTCCTGCCTCAGCCTCCTGAGTAGCTGGGATTACAGGCACGCACCACCATGCCCGGCTCATTTTGTGTTTTTAGTAAAGACGGGATTTCTCCATGTTGGTCAGGCTGGTCTCAAACTCCCGATCTCAGGTGATCCACCTGCCTCTGCCTCCCAAAGTGCTGGGATGACAGGTGTGAGCCACTGCGCCCAGCCCTGATTTTCATCTTACTGTTCTCCATTTGCAGGTGAAAATGGAGGTTTCCTCCTCCTGTGGCTGAGTGTGGCTTCCCCGGAAGACCTCACTGACCCCAGAGTGGCAGAAAGGCTGATGCAGCAGGTGAGTGGGCACTTTCCGGGCCAGGGGAGTAGAGGAAGGGGCGAGGTTCGCAGGGGCTGCAGGGAAGACCCGCAGGACACAGAAGAGCAGCTACCGCGCTTGGAAGGGAGTCTCGTTTCTTACGGAGAATTGGGAGCTGAATCTGAGGATCTCTGCCTGGCTTTGCTTCTGCCTGCCTTCTCCGAGTTCTTCATTTCCTTCTCTGCAATGTAAACATGTGACTCCTAGAGCCCCCAGTTTCTTCTGGTCCTTGGAAGCTTGGCCTTCTGGCCTCTGAGGCAAAGGTCAGTGATACTGATGGGAGGGTAGGTCGGACTCTTGGTTGCAAGTGGCAGAAACCCAAGTCAGGGCAGTTTATGCAAAAAAAAAAAAAAAAAAAAAAAAAGGCAAGGTCTGAGAAACCTACAAGTGTCTCTTCAGCTTCAGTACGGCTGGATCCAGCAGCTCCAACGCCATCACAGGGACTTTCTCTTTCTTTCCCTGTCTTAGCTTTACTCCCTTCATTCTTCAGAGTCTTTCTTCATGTGTATGAAAAGGCAGCCTTGTTAGCCATAGATTCACAAGGGACTTCCATCTCCCCACATTTTCTTTTCTTTTTTCTTTTTCTTTCTTTCTTTTTGTTTTTTGAGACGAAGTCTCGCTCTGTCGCCCAGGCTGGAGTGCAGTGGTGCGATCTCAGCTCACTGCAAGCTCCGCCTCCTGGGTTCACGCCATTCTCCTGCCTCAGCCTCCCAAGTAGCTGGGACTACAGGCGCCCGCCACCACGCCCAACTAATTTTTATGTTTTTTTTTTTAGTAGAGACGGGGTTTCACCGTGTTAGCCAGAATAGTCTCAATCTCCTGACCTCGTGATCCACCCGTCTTGGCCTCCCAAAGTGCTGGGATTACAGACATGAGCCACCGCACCCGGCCCCCTCTCCCCAAATTTTCATGTCATCTGGGGAAGTGCAGGTCTCCATGGCCTGCAAGGGTCACCATGACTGACAACCCAGTCAGGATCCCATAGAGGAAGGATGAGCCCCAAGAAAATAGGGAGGCTAGGCAGAAAAAACCGCAGAGATGTATACTCTAGATGAGGACCATGATTGGGATGTATTTGTACAAGTTGGGAAAATTCTCCTAAAACCCACTGGATAGAACTTCCAATGGTAAAGTTCCGGGGTCAGGGTTTTGAGGATGGGGATGGTGTGGCTTGTTGGAGGTTAGACTGGGTCAGCTCAGTGCAGATGTCACGGGCCTGGCCTTACTGAGGGGTGGGTTGTTCTCCTAATGTGTGGTACAAAGTAGCAGATGGGGCATGATGGGAAGTGTCTAAGCTCTGCTCACAGATGTAACCGTGAAAACAGGCCCAGTGCACAGTCTAATGTGGATTGCCTCTTTGACAGTGCCCTTGCTAATACCTGAAGCTTGCATTCAGCACCTCTCACAGTCAATGGGACAGTGCCCTTGCTAATACCTGAAGCTTGCATTCAGCACCTCTCACAGTCAATGGGTGCCACACTGCTGAAAAGTGGCTCAGGCTTCCTGTCATCCCTTGCAAGGGTAAACCTGGCAGAGATGCTGGCTGGGGGTCTTATGCCAGGTGTAGAGTTCATAGCCAGGCTGGACAGGTGGAATGATTGCCCTTAGCAGAGGGAAGCAAGATATGTCCGTGGAGAGTGGGATCCTTTGTTGCAGGCGAAAGAAAACCTCTGTCTGTCGTAAGTAAAAGGGGGATTTGTTGGCAGCGTCCCAGAGTGCATAGAATCAAAGCAATGCCAGGACAGCAGGCTTGGAAAATAGGCAGGAGGGCCCCCAGGAGCTCTGGGGTCCAGACAGTGGGATCAGGCTGGCTGGGACACTGTCCCTCTTGCTGGTCAGTCACTATTGGATGCTGCCACAGCCAAGGGGCATCACGTGGCCTGCACACACATTCACATAGGTTCTCGCTGCCTTTTTGTCTCACTGGACTTTTTGCTCCAGAGCCAAAGTCCTGAGTAGGAACATTTGATAGGCCGAGCTTAGCCCTTGTACTCCCATGAGCCCACAGCCAGGTGCCAGGGGACGGGAAGAAGGGATGTCTGCGTCCTTGGAGTTCTCTTAGCAGCAGTGAGGCCGATCGTGACTCCCACTGTAAGGAGTTCCCTAAACATGGCACGGGGGCTCGACACCCGATGGCCAAATAAGTGACAAATGCCCCCGGCATGTGATAATCAAAGTAGCGAGTGTGAATCCTTGTGGGAGAGGGAAGCCAATTGCTTTTGTTTTGTTTTGTTTTCTGAGACTGAGTCTCACTCTGTCATCCAAGCTGGAGTGCAGTGGTGCGATCTTGGCTCACCACAACCTCCGCCTCCCAGGTTCAAGCCATTCTCCTGCCTCAACCTTCTGAGTAGCTGGGATTACAGGCCCGCACCACCATACCTGGCTAATTTTTGTATTTTTAGTAGAGATGGAGTTTCAGGTTTCAGCATCTTGGCCAGGCTAGTCTTGAACTCTTGACCTCATGATCCACCCACCTCAGCCTCCCAAAGTGCTGGGATTACAGGCGTTGAGTCATTGCGCCCGGCTGGGAAGCCAGTTTTCTTTTTCTTTTTCTTTTTCTTTTCTTTTCTTTTATTTTTCTTGAGACAGATTCTCGCTCTGTCGTCCAGGCTGGAGTGCAATGGCACGATCTCGGCTCACTGCAACCTCCGCCTCCCGGATTCAAGCAATTCTCCTGCCTCAACCTCCCTAGTAGCTGGGATTACAGGTGCACACTACCACTCCTGGCTAATTTTTGTATTTTTAGTAGAGATGGGGTTTCTCCATGTTGGTCAGGCTGGTCTCGAACTCCTGACCTCAGGTGACCCACCTGCCTCTGCTTCCCAAAGCACTGGGATTATTGGCGTGAGCCACCGCACCCGGCTGGGAAGCCAGTTTTGAATCTCAGGTCTAAGCCCCCAAACCAGAAATGATTTCAGGAATCGGAAAGAAACCGGGAGATCAGGAGCAGGTCAGGCAGCTGAGGCGCAGGCACCAGGCCACATGGGGTTGGGCATCAGTTCTCGTCCGGGGACAGCCCAACAGTTTGGGCTCAGGGATTAGACAATGAGCTTAGGAACCAGCTAGATCTGGGTGTGAATTCTAGTTCCCAACTGTGTGATCTTGGATAAGTTATTCTATGCGACTTTCATCCCTTATAAAATGAGGATCCTAACACCTGCTTTATAAGGTTGCTGTGAGGTTTAGATGACATAATGTGTGTGAGGCACCAGCCTGTGTCCAGCATGTAGGAGGCCCAGGAAGGGTTGCCGTCCTCCCCATGCACTCTGCCCCAGTGTCCCTTCCTGTCCTCTGCCTCTGGCGAGCTCATGGGCCAGATGGGCTGAAAGGACAGCTGGCTCTTTTGCTCTCCAGCTCCACCGGGAACTCCACGCCCACGCGCCTCACTTCCAGGTCTCCTTACTGCGTGTCAGGAGAGGCTAACGGACATCAGCTGCAGCCAGGCATGTCCCGTATGCCAAAAGAGGGTGCTGCCCCTAGCCTGGGCCCCCACCGACAGACTGCAGCTGCGTTACTGTGCTGAGAGGTACCCAGAAGGTTCCCATGAAGGGCAGCATGTCCAAGCCCCTAACCCCAGATGTGGCAACAGGACCCTCGCTCACATCCACCGGAGTGTATGTATGGGGAGGGGCTTCACCTGTTCCCAGAGGTGTCCTTGGACTCACCTTGGCACATGTTCTGTGTTTCAGTAAAGAGAGACCTGATCACCCATCTGTGTGCTTCCATCCTGCATTAAAATTCACTCAGTGTGGCCCAGAGGCTGTCTATTGATCTGCATGCTTTCGCCATTTTTATAGTACAGGGATTGTGTATAGTCTCACTGCTACCTCCTCCTTCTACTCCCCCAGGTCTTGGTTTGGACTTTGATGATAGCATTTACTGAAACGGGCCTGGAGCCTGTCGAACAGCCCGCTGTGGCAGGGCAGGGACCACCTTTGTTCATCTCAGTATCCCCTGAACTAGCAGTGTCTGGCCTGCAGTGGGATCGCAGAGAATGTGGAATTGACCTAAATTTAAATTTCAAGTTCTGGACACAAGCCTCAATTATTCCTCTTATATGTTATAACTTACATGCTATTATTTTTTAAAAAAATTAATATGGTTTACTTTTTATTATAAAAGTAAAACTTGGCCAGGCTCAGTGGCTCACGCCTGTAATCCCAGCACTTTGGGAGGCCGAGGCCGGTGGATCACGAGGTCAGGAGTTTGAGACTAGCCTGGCCAACATGGTGAAACCCCGTCTCTACTAAAAACACGAAAATTAGCTGGGTGTGGTGGCAGGTGCCAGTAATCCCAGCTACCCAGGAGGCTGAGACGGGAGAATCACTTGAACCCGGGAGGCAGAGGTTGCAGTGACCCAAGATCCTACCACTGCACCCCAGCCTGGGCAAAAGGGCAAGACTCTGTCTCATAAATAAATAAATTTAAAATAAAAGTAAAACTTGTTTATGATTTCAAAATTTTGAAATATTCCAAAGACCAAGCAAAGTAAGAAGTGGGAAGAGGAGAAAGAAAAACTTTTCTATAATCCCACCTCTTAGATACAACGATTTATTTTTTAAAATTGAGACAGGGTCTCACTCTCACCCAAACTGCAGTGCAGTGGTGCGACCATGGCTCACTGCAGCCTCCACCTCCCAGCTCCAGTGATCCTCCCACCTCAGCCTCCTGAGGAGCTGGGACCACAGCTGGCTAATTTTTGTACTTTGTTTTGTAAAAAAGGGGCTTTACCATGTTGACCAGGTTGGTCTCGATCTTCTGAGCTCAAGCAGTCCTCCTGCCTCAGACTCGCAAAGTGCTGGGATTACAGACATGAGCCACTGTGCCCAGCCTTATATACAGCTATTATTATTAATGTATACTGTGTATTCATTTCAATTCTTAATCTCTCCACTTGGATGTTGATGAAATACATACCTCACATTCAACATTTCTTTCTTTTTTTTTTTCTTTTTGAGATGGAAAGGAGCCTGGCTCTGTCACCCAGGCTGGAGTGCAGTGGCGTGATCTCAGCTCACTGCAAGCTCCACCTCTTGGGTTCACGTGATTCTCCTGCCTCAGCCTCCTGAGTATCTGGGACTACAGGTGCCACCACCATGCTCGGCTAATTTTTTGTATTTTTAGTAGAGACGGAGTTTCACCGTGTCAGCCAGCCTGGTCTCAAACTCCTGACCTCAAGTGATCCACCCACCTCGGCCTCCCAAAGTGCTGGGATTCCAGTTAATGAGCACCGCTCCTGGCCTCCACATTTCTAAAATCGAAGTTCTGATCTTTTCCTCTGGACCTGCCCCACCTGCATCTTCCCCATCTCAGTTGACGTCAGTTGCATCCTTCAGGTGCTCAGGCCGAAATCCTCAGCACCGTTCTTTATTCTCCTCTCACATTTTGCACCAGGAAATTCTGCTGGCTCTAAGGCCATCAAACTGTGCCCAGAATGTGGCCCCTCCTCAGCATCTCCAGTGCTACCACCGAGATGGTCCACGATGCCATCATCTCTCACCTGCACTACTACAGGTCTCCCTGTTTCCAGCTCAGCCCCCACCCCAGTCTAGTCCCAGTGTGTCAGCCAGGGCTGTCTTTTTACAACATAAGGCAGAACACACCACTTCTTTGCTCCAATCCTCCCATTTCACTCAGAAGAAAAGCTCCGACAACAGCTGCAAAGCCGTGCACGACCTGCGCCCCTCCCCTGCCTCCTTAATTTGCTGACTGCACCGCAGCCACATGGACGTCTTTCTTGTCCCTTCAATGCGCTGGGCCTGCTCTTGCCTTGGGACCTTTCTGTGCATTGCTTAGTCTGCTCAGAAGCCTTCTCCTCTACATATCCACTTGTCTAAACCCTCTACCTCCACCTTCATGCCCCTTCTCAGCGAGGTCTACCATGACCATGCTGCCTACAAATTCAGTCTCCCCTTCTGTACTTTGACGTACTTTATAGTGCTGATCACAATTGAACGTCATACATATTTTGTTTTCTTTATTATCTGAGTCCTCCAACTAGAATGAAAGATTTTGCCCATTATGGTTTCCCTAGTGCCAAGAACAGTACCTGGCACATACCAGGGGCTCAGTAAACATTTGTTAGATGAATGAAGGAAACAAGGAGACTGTGTTGATGCTGCTGTGAGCAAGGGGAGTCTGAACGTTTGATGGATCCCTTCCATTTCTGGAGTGGAGCAGAATGAGTTTCATAAAGTAGCTTGGACAAAAATAATTCGCTCATCTTGGCATATATGTTGGGCAGCTGCCGCAGAAGAGAGACTGAGCTATGTGCCGTGGAGGATTCAAATCTGTCTCTTCTCCCAGGGATTGAAGTTAGACACGTACAGCAATAATAAGTTGAAAGAACTTATTTACACCGCATATAGCAACAACAGGATGCCCTTAATATATAGAGAACTCTTACAGCGCAAGAAAATAAAAAGGCAAACGTACCAGTAGAAAAATGGGTAAATGGCAACAGGTAATTCACAAAAGAAGAAATACAAATGTCCTCTCCTCCCGCCACCACCCCCCATGAAAAAGAACGTGTGACTTCAGTAGCAAAAACAGGTCCATTAATACAGTGAGATATTGCTTATTGTATGTCTGTACTGATCTATACTGGGTGCTGGGCAAACGGGCATTCTTAAACACTCCTAGTAGGGAAGAAATTGGTACAACCTTTCCGGAGGACAATTTAACTGATTTATTTAAAGCCCGAAAAATGTACATACCTTTAACTCAGCAGTTTCGTTACTGATTTATCTTAAGGAAGTAATTTAGAATCTGTGCCTAACTGTTTACAATAACTCATAGATGAAAAAGGCAAAACAAAACACAAGTAACCTCAAATCTCCCCATGTAACAGTTTGCTTAAACACTATAGCGTTATTTTACGCAAGCTACAGAAGCATTGTTGAAACATATATTTATTAGGACAGAAAAAAATTCATGAAATGTTATTTTATCTTCTTTTTTCTTAAAATGGAACTTAAAAAAAATTTTTTTAACTCCAACCTACCTTTTACACCATCTGCAGAGCTTTCCTCTCCCAAATCAAAGCTACTCCTGTTCCTACCTCCAGGATGGAATCCCCACCTTCGTATGCAAGGGTCTTCATGATATGGCCTCAGCCAACTATCTTAGCTCCAGGTCACGGCCCCATCTTCCATATCCTATGCTGCTTGCACAGGAAGCAGCTCGCTAACCCCAGGCACACCTGCTTTCATCTGGAGCGTCTGCCCATCATGATTCCTCCCCCTGGTCCCTTCACCTGGAAAACTCCTATTCATTCCTCAAAGCCCAGTTCAGATGGCACCTCTCCATGACTTCATCAGATTCCCTACAGAGGTGCTGATTTTCTGGTCTCTTGTGTTTCTGTTGTAACACTTAACATGCTGTATTATAATGTGCTTATTTTATTTACAAGTTTGTTACATTGTACGTGCTCGAGGACAAGCAGCCGGTAGTATTCACCTCTGTCATCACAGAAGCTGGCGTGGAGCCCTCCACATGAGGGCACTGATGTGTTTGCTGAGTGACTGGGACAATGGTGGGCCACGTGAGCCCCGAAACTTTCAGTGGGCTCTGAAAGTTAAGAAAAGGGCATTCAGTACTGAAATCACACAAAACGTAAATTTAATGATATAATTGTTCCGAAGCTGCTCTATAATTTGGCATGAATGGAGAGCAGTTTACAAAAATGACAACACCACTGTTATATAAACCCAATTCTTAAATAGGTTTTCTTCTCTTGCTTTGTATTTCCTCAAGTGGGTGATACTTAATACAGTGGCTCATGTAATCTTAATTACTACATATGAGGACACGGACATGTACATATGATGCTGATTACTGCTATTTTTGGAAGTAAAAAAATTGTAAAATTTGACTAGCTTAAAAAATCTGTAAAATATGGGATACACAAATTAGAGACTGGGTGCGGTGGCTCATGCCTGTAATCCCAGCACTTTGAGAGGCCGAGGCAGGCGGATCACTTGAGGCCAGGAGTTTGAGACCAACCCAGGCAACATGGTGAAATCCTGTCTCTACTAAAAATACACAAATTAGCTGGGCATAGTGGCAGGTGCCTGTAATCCCAACTACTCAAAAGGGTGAGGCAGGAGAATCACTTGAACCTGGGAGGCGGAGGTTGCAGTGAGCTGAGATTGCGTCACTGCACTCCAGCCTGGTGACAGAGCGAGACCGTGTCTCAAAACGTCAACAAGAACGACACAAATTAGAAGCATTTGGGAACTAAAATGTATCATTATGATTGCATGTGGGTGGGTTGGGGGGGGACAATAAAGAGGAAGAGAGACTGTGTGTGTGTGTGTGTGTGTGTGTGTGTGTGTGTGCACGCCTGTATTACTGGAGATGACCAAAGTTAGCAGGAGTAATGTTACCAAGCTAACAGGAGCCAGAAGTCCCTGGAGAAAACTCTCCAGCTATTTAAGATTCTAAAGTGTGTGTATATGAGGTAAAAATGCCACGTTTTATAAAGACAAATTTAAGCATGGACCTAAACAAGATGGCCTGTCTAAAGTCACCTGTGACTTGGTGTGAGCTCTGAGACGGCGAAACTCCACAGCAATGATGAAGACAACGTGAGGTGGAACTTCTCTGACCAGAGACCTCATCTGAAGCTTCTGCCACAGCCAGTCCTGCCTTCATCCCTTGAGAGGGGGATTGGCCACCAAAGTATGCAAAGCATTTGAATGGAAACGAATTCCGTGGGTGCGCCCCACACTTTAATAGTGGCCATGATATCACTTTCTGGTGCCAGTAAATGCGTAAAGGGGTGCATCATGCCAGTGACCTATCACTCATCATCCCAGTCATTAAGCCACTTACTTCAGGCCTGTGGGGAGTTTCTGGAAGGCTCCTTTGAAGCAGGGAAGAATGGGCAAGGGAGTCTGTGTCTTTGGCCAAGCTTTGCCCCAGATAGCTCCTTTTGCCACTCTCGAGCCCACTGAAGGTGTCCCAGCTGCTGCCACCAGCAGGGGTCGGGGGTCTGCACCCTTCTCTCTTCCAAGCAAACTCACACCTGGCACCCTGGGGAAGGGTCAGTCAGTTATTTTATTCCAGGGGCCAAAGCGACAGAATCCAGACCACTTGTAGCCAGGGAATGAGCTGACGAAAATGGATGGTTGTGTCCTTGTCCTTCTGACTGTCCCACTCGTGAAGGGGCAGCTCCCTGTCCAGCTAGAGAAGGGTGTCCCCAGGTGCCCTCTCCTTTCTTGGGACGCCTCCTCCTCCCGTGCTGTCAGGGCCTCAGCGGCTTTGACTGGGCTCACCAAGAAAACACAGAACAGCCACTTAAATGAGAACCTCGGATAAACGGTGAACACTTAAAAATATACAAGAATGTTCCAAATAGTTCATGGGATATCTTTAAACTAAAACAATTATTTGTGGTTAATCTGAAATTTAAGCTGGGCTGCTTGTATTTTCATTTGCTAAATTGGACAGCCCTACTTTCATTATTATTATTATTATTATTATTGAGACCCAGTCTCACTCTGTCACCCAGGCTGGAGTGCAGTGGTGCCATCTCGGCTCACTGCAAGCTCCGCCTCCTGGTTTCAAGGGATTCTCCTGTCTCAGCCTCCCAAGTAGCTGGGATTACAGGTGTGCGCCACCACGCCCAGCTAATTTGTTATATTTTTGGTAGAAACAGGGTTTCACCATGTTGGTCAGGCTGGTCTTGAACTCCTGACCTCAGGTGACTTGCCTGCCTCGGCCTCCCAAAGTGCTGGGATTACAGGTGTGAGCCACACACCTGGCCCAGACAGCCCTACTTTTAATGCATCCTCTCCCACGAGGGTCCCTGGCTCCTCTCTTCCCTCCAATCTGCGGGTCTCCTTCAGGGGTAGCAAGCTCCCAGCCTTCTCCCAGGTATTGGGCCTCTCCTCTGCCTCGGGAGGAGCTGTCCATCAAACACAGGCTCTGTCCTCCCGCTCCCTCCATTGCTTAGTGTGTGAAGGTGGACAGGGGAGGAGGGACCTTGGGTTTGGGGCGGTTCTGCTCCCCACTCGCTGCTTTGCTTTTGCTCTTTCTGGTTTCCTTTCTCCGCAGTTGATGACACAGGGCACCCACAGCGCTCACGTGCCTTCCATGGTGGGGGTGAATCCTTTGCCAATAGTGCCTGGTGGGTTTCAGGTAAGTTGTAACTTTTGGACCTTCTGCTGTCTCTGACTTTGAGTCACATGACAAGGTCCTCATGGAATTGGGATTCTGGCAGCCAGGTGAGGGCGGTCTCACCAGCTCCTTCATGCCTGCAGGCCTCCCCCTTCCTCACAACTGATGGATGGTTGGCTCCCTAGCCGCCCCCTTAGTGCCATGTGTGCTTAATTCTTTTAAAAATTTAAATATATTAATTTTAAAATCATCTTTTAAATAATAAAATTTGCTTTTTAGAGCAGTTTTGGGTTTACAGCAAAATTTTCCTGAGTGGAAAATACAGAAAGTTCCCATATGCCCCCTGCCACACACACATATACCTACGCCCAGCCTCCCCCACCACCAACGCCCTGCACCAGGTGGCACGTGTGACAGTCGATGCGTCCACGTCAACATATCCTCATCAAAGTCCAGAGTTGACAGCACATTTTTGGCGTTGGATATTCTCCATTCTCTATTCAACAACGTATCGGCTGGCCCGGCGCAGTGGCTCATGCCTGTAATCTCAGCACTTTGGGAGGTGGAGGCGGGTGGATCTCTTTGAGATCAGGAGTTCGAGACCAGCCTGGCCAACACGGCGAAAACCCATCTCTACTAAAAATACAAAAATTAGCCGGGTGTGGTGGCGCATGCCTGTAGTCTTAGCTACATGGAAGGCTGAGGCAGGAGAATCGCTTGAACCCGGGAGGTGGAGGTTGCAGTGAGCAGAGATCGCACCACTGCACTCCATTCTGGGCGACAGAGTGAGACTCAATCTCAAAAAATAACATAAATGTTTCTGCCATTGTAGCATCATACAGAAAAATAAGTAGTTTCAGTGCCCTAAAAATCCTCTGTGCTTCACTTATTCATCCCCAACCCCTGGCAACCACTGATCTTTTCACTGTCTCCATAGTTTTACCTTTTCCAGAATGTCATATAATTGCAACCGTAAGGTAAATAGCCTTTTCAGATTGTCTTCTTTCACATAGTATATGCATTTAAGTTTTCTGTATGTATTTTCATGGCTGTGTAATTCATTTCATTTTAGCACTGAATAATATTCCATCGTCTGAATGCACCATAGGTTATTTACCCGTTCACCTGCTGAAGGACATCTTGGTTGCTTCCAAGTTTTGGCAATTATGAATAAAGCTGCTATAAATTATGAATAAAGCTGCTATAAACCTCCATGTGCAGGTTTTCGTGTGGACAAAAACGTTTTCTGTCCCTTTGGGTAAATATCAAGGAGTGTGATTGCTGGACTGCATAGTAAGAGTATGGTTTAGTTTGGTAAGAAAGTGCCAAATTGCGGGCGCCTGTGGTCCCAGCTGCTGAGGAGGCTGAGGCAGGAGAATCGCGTGAACCCGGGAGGCGGAGCTTGCAGTGAGCCGAGATCGTGCCACTGCACTCCAGCCTGGGCGACAGAGCCAGACTCCATCTCCAAAAAAAAAAAAAAAAAAGAAACTGCCAAATTGTCTTCCAAAGTGGTTGTACCATGTTGCCTTCCCACCAGCAATGAAGGAGGGTTCCTGTTGCTCCACATCCTGAACAGCATTTGAAGTTTTCAGTGCTGTGGATTTTGATCATTCTTTTTTTCTTTTTCTTTTGAGACGGGGTCTCACTCCATTGCTCAGGCTGGAGTGAAGGCTGGATCGCGGCTCACTGCAGCCTCAACCTCCTGGGCTCAAGCAATCCTGCCATCTCAGCCTCCAGAGTAGCTGGGACCACAGTCACATGCTACCGTGCCCATATAATTTTTTAATTTTTTGTAGAGATGGGATCTTGCTTTGTTGCCCAGGCTGGTCTCAAACTCCTGGGCTCCAGTGATCCTCCTGCTTCAGCCTCCCAAAGTGCTGGGAGTACAGGTGTGAGCCACAGTGCCTGGTGACTGTGGTCATTCTAACAGGTGTGTATTGAGTACAGTTGTGAGCCACGATGCCTGGCGATTGTGGTCATTCTAACGGGTGTGCATGGGTTTCGCGTTGTTTGCGGTTCCCTAATGACATACGATGTTGAACATCTTTGTAGATGCTTATGTGCCATGTGAATGTCTTCTTTGGTGATATGTATGTTCAGTTTTTTTACCCATTTAAAAAACTGGGTTGTTCATTTTCTTATTGTTGAGTTGTAAGAGTTATTTGTATATTTAATTAATTAATTAATATTTTTTGAGACAGAGTCTCACTCTGTTGCCCAGGCTGGAGTGCAGTGGCGCGATCTCAGTTCACTGCAATCTCCGCCTCCTGGGTTCAAGTGATTATCCTGCCTCAGCCTCCTGAGTAGCTGGGATTACTACTACTGGTAGTAGTAATGGCGCCCGCCACCACACCCAGCTAATTTTTGTATTTTTAGTAGAGACAGGGTTTCACCATGTTGGCCAGGCTGGTCTCCAACGCCTGACCTCAATTGATCCGCTTACCTCAGCCTCCCAAAGTGCTGGGATTTCAGGTCTGAGCCAGTGCACCCGGCTCTTTGTATATTTTAGATAAAAGTCTTTAATCAGATGGGACTTTTGCAAATATTTTCATTCTCTTGCCATTGCCTTTCACAGAGAAGAAGTTTTTAATGTTAATGAAGTTCAGCTCATCAATTATTTCCTTCATGGATCATGCCCTTGCTATTGTATCTAAAATGTCATCACCATACTCAAGGTCATTTAGATTTTCTCCTATATTATCTTCTGGGAGTCTTACAGTTTTGCATTTTATTGAGGTTTATGATTCATTTTGAGTTTTTATGAAAGGTATAAGGTCTGTGTCTAGATTTTTTTTTTTTTTTTTTTTTTTTTTTTTGCTTGTGGATGTCCGGTTGTCCCAGCGTCATTTATTGAAAACACTATCTCTGCTCCATTGTGTGGCCTCTGCTGCTTTGTCAAAGATCAGTTGACACATTTATACAGGTCTATTAGAAATATTACTTTTAATATTCTGGGCTCTCTATTCTGTTCCATTGATCTATTTGTCTATTCTTTTGCCAGTATCATGCTGCTTTCATGACTATAGCTTTAGAGTAAGCCTTGAAGTCAGGTGGTATCAGTCCTCTGACCATTCTCCATCAATATTGATTTGGCTATTTTGGATCTTTTGCCTCTCCACATAAACTTTAGAGCCAGTTTATCCATATCTACAAATAACTTCCTGGGATTTTGATTAAGATTGTGTCATTATGTAGAATCTGTAGATCAAGTTGGCTATCTTGATCTGCTGCTATCTTGATAATATTGAGAACTGCTATCTTAATAATATTGAGTCTTCTGGCCTGTTGTGCTGGCGCACACCTATAATCCCAGCACTTTGGGATGCCGAGGAGGGTGGATCACCTGAGGTCAGGAGTTTGAGATCAGCCTGGCCAAAATGCCGAAACCCTATCTCTACTAAAAATACAAAAAAAAATTAGCCAGGCGTGGTGGTGTGTGCCTGTAATCCCAGCTACTCATGAGGCTGAGGCAAGAGAATTGCTTGAACCCGGGAGGCTGAGGTTGCAGTGAGCTGAGATGGTGCCACTGCACTCCAGCCTGGGTGACAGAGGGAGACTCCATCTCAAAAAAAAAAAAAAAAAAGAGTCTTCCTGTTCATAAACATAGAATGTCATCCCATTTATGAAGTTCTTTGATATCTTTCATCAGAGTTTTATAGTTTTTCTCATATAGATCTTGTACATATTTTGTTACATTTACACCTCAGTATTTCATTTTGGGGGATGCTAATGTAAATGGTCATATGTATTTAATTTTATTATTCATTTTTCTTTTTTTGTTTCCTGTCTTGCTCAAATATTTTTAATTCTAAATTCCAATTGTTCTTTGCTGGCACACACGAAAGCTGTTGACGTTAGGACACTAACCTTATATCATGAAACTTGTCTGAAATTGCTTCTTTGTTCTGGGGTTTTTTCCTTTTGTCAACTCTTAGATTTTTTAACATAGATGATTGTGTCATCTGTGAACAAAGCAGTTTTGTTTCTTCCTTTTTATTCTGTATACCTTTTATTTCCCTTTTGTGTCTAGTTGCATTGGCCAAGACCTCCAGCAGGATGTTGAGAATCGATGGTGAGAGGGGACGTTCTTGCCTTGTTACTAATCTTAGGGGAAAGCATCTAATTTCTCACCGTTAAGGATGATGTTAGCTGTAGGTTTTTGTAGATATTCTTTTATTTATTTATTTATTTATTTATTTATTTATTTATTTTTTGAGACAGAGTCTCACTCTGTCACCCAGGCTGGAGTGCAGTGGTGTGATCTCGGCTCACTGCAATCTCCGCCTCCTGGGTTCACACCATTCTCCTGCCTCAGCCTCCCAAGCAGCTGGGACTACAGGCGCCCACCACCACGCCCAGCTAATTTTTTGTGTTTTTAGTAGAGATGGGGTTTCACCGTGTTAGCCAGGATGGTCTCGATCTCCTGAACTCGTGATCCGCCTGCCTCGGCCTCCCAAAGTGCTGGGATTACAGACGTGAGCCACCATGCCTGGCCGATCATGTGATTTTTCTTCTCTAGCCTGTTGATGTAACGGATTGCATTAGCTGATTTTTGAATATTGAACCAGTCTTGCATACCTGGGATAAATCTCTGTTGGTCATGGCCTATAATTCTTTTTACATATTGTTGAACTGTATTTGCTAATATTTTGTTGGTAATTTTTGCATCTATGTGAGATATATTGGTCTATAGTCGTCTTGTAATGTCTTTGTCCCGTTTTGGCATTAGGGTGACAGTGACAAATGACTTAGGAAGTATTCCTCCTGCTTCTATCTTCTGGAAAAGATTGCAGAAAATAGGTATTATTTCCCCTTAAATATCTGCTAAAATTCACCAGCGAACTCATCTGTGCTGTGTGCTTGCTTCTTGATAAATGAATGCTGTGACTGCAGTTTTGTATGGAGACTTCATTACATTCCACTTTGGGGCATATGAGGGTAAAGCTACAGCTTTGTATGTAGGAGAGTGGCTTCACCTATTGGGAGAAGTCATTCTCCATGTAAGTTTGGAGTCTGCTCAGATCAAAGACTGTGAAGGTTAATATTGAGTGTCAACTTGATTGGACTGAAGGATGCAACGTATTGTTCCTGGGTGTCTCTCTGTGAGGGTGTTGGCAATGGAGACTAATATTTGAATCAGTGGACTGGGAGAGGCAGGCTCACTCTCAGTCTGGGTGGACACAATCTAATCAGCTGCCAGCATAGCCAGAATAAAGCAGGCAGAGGAATGTGGAAGGATTACACTGGCTAAGTCTTCCAGCCTTCATCTTTCTCCCGTGCTGGATGCTTCCTGCCCTCAAACATCGGACTTCCAGTTCTTCAGCTTTTGGACTCTTGGACTTACACTGGTGGTTTGTCAGGGGCTCTTGGGCCTTCTGCCACAGACTTAAGGTTACACTGTCGGCTTCCCTACTTTTGAGATCTTGGGATTCAGACTAGCTTCCCTGCTTCTCAGCTTGCAGACAGCCTATTGTGGACCTCACTTTGTGATCGTGTGAGTCGATACTCCTTCATAAACTCCCCTTTATATATACATCTATCCTATTAGTCCTGACCCTCTAGGGAACCCTAATACAAAGATTATATATATATTCTTTATATATATATATATATATATTTTTTTTTTTTTTTTTTTTTGAGACAGAGTCTTGCTCTGTTGCCCAGGCTGGAGTGCAGTGGCACAATCTCAGCTCACTGCAACCTCCGCCTCCTGGGTTCAAGAGATTCTCCTGCCTCAGCCTCCTGAGTAGCTGGGATTATAGGCGTGTGCCACCACGCCCAGCGAATTTTTGTATTTTAGTAGAGACAGGGTTTCACTATGTTGGCCAGGCTGGTCTCAAACTCCTGGCCTCAAGTGATCTGCCCGCCTTGGCCTCCCAAAATGTTGGGATTACAGGCGTGAGCCACCGTGCCCAACCAAAGATATTCCTTTGGGAGCTTCCTTCAACAGCACTTACCCACCCGCAAGAATGAGCTTGAACACCTGCTTTGCACCATGTGACCTCCTTTCTGACCCCATGACTACATTTTATTGGACCAGGCATAAACAACTGATGTAAATTGGACCAGTCAGATTCTCTCTTCAGGGATTTGGGATTTAGAACTAAGAGGCAGCTACCTAGTTTCTGCATAAAGTTGGAATTGAGATTTTCTAGACACAGGAATTGTGGACCAATTGTGTTGGAGTTATTACACCAGATAGGTGTAAAAGTCCCGCCTGCTGAGAGGATTCTGTGGAAGCTGATCAGGTTGCTGGGGCAAGTGGAGGCAGGGTAGAGGTGAAGGGCTGTGGGATGGAGAACCTCAGAAGACTCCATCTGGGGTCCGGGAAAGGACAGAGAGGGTATATGAGGGGTCGGGCCCTCCAGATCTAAGGGTGGGGTGGTGGCATGTTTCTTGAGTTGGTTCCTGGAAAGGGAGCTGAAATGGTTTAATCGCTCTTCCATGAAACGCAGGCGGTGGGGACAGCCACCAGACAGGTAAACACACTGTGCATTGATCCTTTTACAACTTTTGTGAAACTGATGGACAGGCAGGCAGGGAGGGGTCCTGGGAGAGAGTCTGGGGCACTCCATCTTGGGGTATCTCTTTCGCTCTCCTCCTTAGCGGGCGAAGCTTTGGCCTGTGCTGGGGTGGGGGAAGAAGAAGGTGATGTGGAGCATGAAGCAAGGTTGGGGTGGAGCAACTGAGGGTTTCCAGCATGGGTAACGGGGCTGATTAGGACTGGATCCAGCTGCCCCTAATGCTCCACTGCTGCCCAGCACTTAACCTCCACACTCTGTGCCCTCTGATGGTTGGGAGAAGTCTGTGTCCAGCCCTTCGGCCACCAGAAGAAAATCAGGAATGGAATTCCTGGTTTTGAAGACACAAAAAGTCAGAGAGACTTTATTTAAATAGAGTTAATTTGAAGTAAACCAGAGAGTTTTGTGTGCAGAAGCATTTTGCTTAACTTAGGGCCATCACCACATTATGAACTCTTGTGTGTGTGTGTGTGTGCACGCGCGCGTGCACAGGCTAGTGTCCTTCTGTGGGTGTGTCTGCGTGAGGACCCATCCATGCATGTTTGATCTTTATGGCCTCCCCCTGTGCACCTGCGCCTATGGATAAGGTATAGTCTTGTCTTGATTCCCAGTATTCATTCTCCTTGAAGAATCCTGACAGCCTTCAGTCACCTTCCCTTTTCCAGTCTCCCAAAAGCAATGGCGCCTTAAATGTGCGGTAAGGATGAGGTGAGTCTTGAGGTAGCCTAGGCCACAGCTGCCCCTTCAAGGCAAGGCCTCAGCTGAGTTCAGGAAATAGGAGAACCTGGCCCCGGAGCAACCCCAGAAGCGCAGGACCACGAACGTCCCGACCCCCAGCAGCAAGAGGCCGCCCAGGGCCCCAAAGAAGATGCCGAAGAACGCGTCGAGTTTCATGCTCAGGTGCTCACAGTGCTCGCCCCAGGCCGTGTAGATGGAGAAGGACACACAGCTGGTGACCAAGAGAGACAGACAGGCGGTCAGAGGCGGGAGCTCAGCCTCCCAGCCCCTCCTCTTCTGCTGGGGAAGAAGAGGTTCTGTAGGAGAGGCTGGGCTCGCCCCACTCTCCGGAGAGACTGAGTCAGCCCTGAGGCCGTGCTGAAGTGAGACCACTGGGCAAAGGAGGCAGGTGTGGGCTTTAAAAACATGGGCCTGGGCCGGCGCGGGGGCTCACGCCTGTAATCCCAGCACATTGAGAGGCTGAGGCGGGCGCATCACTTGAGGTCAGGGGTTCGAGACCAGACTGGCCAACACGGTGAAACCCCATCTCTACTAAAAATACAAAATTAGCCAGGCGTGGTGGTGCGCACCTGTAATCCCAGCTACTCAGGAGGCTGAGGCAGAATCGCTTGAACCTGGGAGGTGGAGGTTGCAGTGAGCCGAGATTGCAACACTGCACTCCAGCCTGGGGGACAGAGCAAGACTCCGTCTCAAAAAACAAAAACAAAAACCTGGTGTGAATTCAGCTGCACGTGCAGTCAGCTGCACCTGGGCGGCAGGGATGCCGGCCACAGGTGGGCATGCGCAGTCACACCCCCGCCCCAGCCCGGCCCCGCCCCGCCCCGCCCACCCGGAGAGCCGGGCCCCGCCCCACCCGCGCTCCGCCCGCCCCCTCCTTCGGCGGGATCTGGAACTGCAGCTGGCGGAGGGCCCGGAGCCCAGGTCTGCGTGGGGCCGCGGCTTCCTGCGCTGTTAACCAGCGGAGCCCCGGGGACTGCTGATGAGGGCAGGGGCAAAGGCGCCTCGCTTGACTGAGGGGCAGGACTGGCCTAGACACAGGACTGCAGGTTCTTTTCCCACAAGGAGACAGCAGGGAAGCAGCAGCCAGATCAGGTGGGAGGGTTTGACTTTGGGCCCTGGCGCGGTGGCTCACGCCTGTAATCTCAGCACTTTGGGAGGCCAAGGTGGACGGATCACCTGAGGTCAGGAGTTCGAGACCAGCCTGACCAACATGGCGAAACCCCGTCTCTACTAAAAATGCAAAAATCAGCTGGGCGTGGTGGTGCATGCCTGTAGTCCCAACTACTCGGGAGGCTGAGGCAGGAGAATCGCTTGAACGCGGGAGAAGGACGTTGCAGTGAGCCGAGAACGCACCACTGCACTCCAGCCTGGGCGACAAATGACACTCCATCTCAAAACATAAAAATATAAAAAATGTTTGGCTTTGGAAACCATGCCCTGCTGCTTAACCTACTGCGTCCTGGGGCAGGTTCCTTGTCATCTCTAAGCTGCAGTTTTCTCATCTTCGAAATAGTTCTAAGCCCCCCTATGGCTCTTTTGGGTTTCAGAGTTTGTAATATAGCGCCTTTATTCTCCACACAGAGCAGGCACTCACAACTCTCCTTTTCCACTGTCCTCTCTTCCCTGGTCTCTGATCTCTCGAGCCATCCTAATTCCTGGACCCCTTGCAGTGTCTTGCCCAGCTTGGGTTCCCCAGCACTGTCCTCCACCTCCTGGCCACAGCCCTATGCACCTGCAGCGGGGCCCACTGGGCAGGTGCTGGCACTGGCCTCCATGGTCACAGTAGCCCCTACTGCACGGGGACACGCAGGTGAAGCCGCTCTGGGGGCTGTAGACCAGGTCGTAGCCCTTGTAGCCATCGCATCTGAAGTAAGCCTTCAGCGTGCTCACGTTCACTGTCGGGAAGGACACAGATTAACACAGAAAGCAACCGATGAACACTAAATCAGTACCTTTTCAGCCACGAATTCCTTTTCGGGTGTTTATCCTGAGAAATAATTGGAGAAGTGCACAGATACATATGCCCCTGGACGTTCAGATCAGCATGGTGGATAATAGTAACGTTTCAGAAGTAGGGTCTGGTTAAATAAACTACTGCACATCCTTACCAAGGGATGGTGCTTCCTATGGAAAAAGTTTCCTAGGGAAAAAGGTTCCTAGGGAAAAAGGTTCCTGTGGAAAAAGGTTCCTATGGAAAATGCTTTCCTGAAGAGCACATGCTTTGAAGGTGGCCAGACTTGGGTGGAAACTGAAACTCTGCTAGTGACTAGATGTGTAATTCAGGGAACATTCCTTCACTCTTTCAGCTTCAGTTTCCTTATCTTTAAAAGGAAATGATCATAATAGCACTTATGCTGCTGTGAGATTTAAATGAGATAATGTGTCCACAGTACTCAGTACAGTGCCGGACACACAGTAAGCACTCAAACAATGGTAATGATTATTATAATGTATTTTAAAATATGACACTATATTCAAACATACCATCATAATATGTCAAATGGGAATGTGGACAGAATATATGAGACAACCTGTTCACAACTGTTTAATGAGGAGGTTTTCCAACATTAGGAATGATTTGATCCTTCAGTAAAAAATGGATGTCTGAAGGTTCCTAGGCATAAAAGAAAGTTCAGAAGGATATGTAGGAAATACTGTTGTCTCTCTGGGGATTGGGATTACAGGGTTTTTTTCCTCTTTTCTTTTTGTTAAGTTTGTGTTTCCTAAAGTTTCTGCAATAAACATACGATGCTTGTATAATAAAAATTATAGGTTTTCCTTAATTGCATAGTCAGGGCTTGCCTCCCTGCGCCTCCTACCCCAACTCCCCAACATACAGTAGTTCTGAGGGATTTCACCCCCTGCTCCGGGAGAGAGCGGGCTTAGCCTGGATTCTGGGAGAAGCTCTTGCTTGGTCCCAGACCCAAGTAAAACAGCAGTTCCTGTTGTGTTTGGGGCGGCCCCTGCCCTGTTCTCTGCCCTATACAGAAAATAGGACGTGTTATTCCTTTGTTTCTCTGACAAGCTTGCCAACTTATTCCTGTTCCAGGAAAACCGGGGGCTGTCAGCACTGAAAGGGGGCTCAGAAATCCCATCTCATTTTCAGATGGGGGTGCTGAGGCCTGGCCTGGGGAAGGTGCTTGGGGAGTGTTGAGGCCTGGCCTCGGGGAGGTGCTGGGGGGTGTTGAGGCCTGGCCTGGGGAAGGTGCTGGGGGGTGTTGAGGCCTGGCCTGGCCTGGGGAAGGTGCTGGGGGGTGTTGAGGCCTGGCCTGGCCTGGGGAAGGTGCTTGCACAGGGTGACACCATTTCAGGGAGTAGTTGCCTCTGTCCCTGGCCAGTCTCCAGTCTCCAGCTTCATATCCTCCCGCTGGAGAGCAGAGACGATGGGGGTGTCCCTGTGTATGCTTAAGTGCAATGGCATTTTAAGAAAACTATTAGCAATTTTATGAAACTAAATTGCTGCTGTTTTATTAGCAGCCACAGTCAGCAAGGCCCTGGCTGGGTGCTTGCTCCGTGAAGCTGTATACGTGTGACTGCCTCAGCAGTGCTGGCTGCTCCTGCTCTCGAATCTAAAAAGCAGCTGGACAAAATGTTCACGTTTTCGCTCAAAACCAAACAAACAGAAAAACTCAATTAGCTTGTTTGTGTGGGCTGAAGCACCTCTGTTTGCCCGCCCCCCGCAGTGACCCCCATAGTGTCCCCGGAATGGACGGACTCACGGGCTGTCACATCGCGCACGTCTTCCCCGGAGATGGGCTGGAAGACCACGTCGTTCCTGGGCTCCTCACTCCTCCGTGGAACGTGGTATAAGAACGCCTCCACCACCGCGGCCAGCAGCTGGTTGTTCAGGAAGTCAATGACCGGGCCCCGAGGGCGGTACTGGAACTCCGAGATGACCATCCAGTGTTGGATGGGGCTTCCCGAGGCCGGTGCTGCAGAATCGCTGTGTGGGAGGGCAACGGTGAGGGGGGGTGGGGGGCTGGGGGTGGGGGATGAGGAAGAGATCTGGGGGCTTAGGGGGACACAGTCCCACTTACATTCGTTCCACTTGGCTGTTGCGGAGAAAGGCCCGCATGTCCAGGGTCCCCAGTCTGTATGCCACCTAGGTTAGAGGATGGCAGATGGGGGTGGGGGTGAGGCCCCATCCGGGGGGGAGACGCCCTCCCACCTTGATGGGTGTATTCATCCCTGTTTCCTCCTGGAACGGGAGCCCCAGGACCCCAGCACCTTCCTCACCTGTCTCTGCACCCTTGCACTCTAGCCTAGCTCAGTGAGTGTCATGGGTCCTTGCTTAATAATGTTTGTTGAGAGTGAAGGGTTTTCCATTCTGTCCCCCCCTCAGCCTCATATGACGAGCAGAGAATCTGACATGAATGGCCCCTACCTTGCCTCTGACACATGACTCATGACCTCCTCCCCAGTATATTGAACATGGGTTGTTTAGACCTAGGAGATGGTCGGGGCTGGGGGTGTCAAGGTGACTTAGGTGGAGTCTAAACTCAAAGAGTGCATTGTCTGGCGCAGGTGACAAATGTCAACAGATTTTACCGTGTGGAGTGTGGAGTGGGGAGTGCTAGGCTTGCAGTAGTGATAATAGCAGTCATCATGTTTGAATACTTGTGTGTCAGGCACTGGACTAAATGCTTGACACGCGTTATCATTTAAACGGTGATACGGCCTGTTGACTCAGGTGCTATGATTGTCCCTGTGTTTACAGATGACCTGTTATATGATGTGTCTAGTTAGCACACCTGCTCTAGTGAGGGGCAGAGCAGGGATTCTGATTCTGGGTGTGCAGGATTCTACAGCCCCAACCACTCAGCAGTTGTGCCACTTTGCCTGTGACTGAGGTATGGCATGGCAGCCAAGAAGAGGGAGCCGCCCGTTCCCTCTGGGAAGTCAGGGAAGACTCCCGGGAGGTGAAATGTCCTTTAGTTTCTTTCAGATCATAACCAAGATGCTTAGAGGTCTCGGCTGGGGTGACTTGGCACCCTGGCCTCTGCTTATGATGAGTCGAGGTTTCTGTCTTGGGCCTTCCTCACTTCCTAATGCCCTGCACCTCCCATGGGGCAAGAGGCTCCGGCCTCCTCTGGCAGTTGAATCCAGATGGATGACAAGATGAAGGCCGCACAGCGATGGTTCCGCCCTGGCCTGAACCCGCCAAGCGCCCCCTCCCACCCAGAGCGCGGCCTGCAGCACTGACCGAGGCGTTGACTTCTGCCATGGAGGCATTTTCCTCTTCACTGAGCAAGAGCTGGATGACTCTTAAGGGAAGTTCTGGAGATGGGAGAAGCAAATGTATCATCACCCCACGGTTTACCCAGACTTACCCAAAAAGTCTGTCGGGCCAGCCCAAGTTGACTGCTCCATTCCAGTGACAGAAGGTCACTGAAGAAACCGGGAGAAGTGGCCCTCACCCTACATTCCACAGTGACAGAAGGTCGCTGAAGAAACCGGGAGAAGTGGCCCTCACCCTACATTCCACAGTGACAGAAGGTCGCTGAGCAAACCGGGAGAAGTGGCCCTCACCCTACATTCCACAGTGACAGAAGGTTGCTGAAGAAACCGGGAGAAGTGGCCCTCACGCTAGGGCTCACTCCACTATGCTCCGGGCCTCCCCAGCGCTCATCTCACTGAGCCAGCTGTGAGGTCTCTGCCTCCGTCCTTCCTCCATAGGCCACACAGGCCCGTGGTCCTTGCCGTGACAGCTTGCCTCGCCAGCTCCCATAGCCCGCACCTTACACCATCCCAGAGAAATCTGGAGCTCTGTCCTGTGACCCCAGAGCTTCCTCATCTTCCCCAAAGGTGGGCGGAGTGCGGGGGTGAGAGGGTGGGGCCCAGGAAGAGTGCGGGGGTGAGAGGGCGGGGTCTCTGGCGGTACCTAGGTTGACAGTTGGACTGAAGTTGTTCCCAGCCAGGAAGCAGCGGCTGTCAGTGAAGGCTGGGGGGCAGGTGCACATGGGCTGACAGCCCAGAGTCTGGGAGATGTAGCAGTGGCCTTGATTGTAGCAGTAATTCACAGGGCAGGACTGGTTCTGACACAGGAAAGAGCTCCCCAGAGCTGCAGAGTGAGTAGGGAGGTCAGCAGCAGCGCGCAGGGCAGCAGAGGGACGGCCCAGCCCGTGGAAACCCGCTCCGGGACAGGCTTGCTTTCCCCCAGTGTTCCACTTCGGGCCACTCGGAACCCCAAACCATCCTTCCCCCCTTTTCCAGGCGTTTCTCTGCAGGGCAACCCCTTTCCCCGGCCAGACAGGTATTCTTCCACTTTTGTGGAGGGACTGGAGTGTTTCTCAGACCCTCTGCTTCAGAAAGGACCCCGAAGGCTGGCAGAGGAGGGGCCCCCAGCTGGCTTTCCTCACGCCCTCCCCTCTCACGTCCATCTCCTTTTCTGCCTTTATAAAAGCTGCGGTTCTACCCACTCTGGCCTCGGCTCTGAAGGCACAGTGATCTGTAGATTTTATTTGGGTGCCTTAGGGGGCTTGGTAAAGGCCTCGCTGTGATCTCCCTCATCAGACTCTGGTGACTCAGAGCGGGAGGAACAGATGGCTGGGAGGACTCAAAGGGAAAATCAGGCACCTTTGCTGCCGGATCCCCACGCCAGCCCCTCCAAACGTCCTGACTCGTGAGATGCAGAGATCCTGAGCCTCGTGTCTCTGAAGATCCCCAGGGATCCCGAGGACCCAGCTTGCCCGGTTCTCTGGCGGCTGCTGAAGTCTCCTCCCCAAACCATCTTCAGTCTTTCGCCCGGGGCTCCCCCCATCAATGCCTCAGGGATGCCCAGCCCCGTCCCCTCCCCTATGCCTGTACAACCTCTTCTCCTTCAGCCCCACACCATCCACCACCCCCTTTCCAGGCCTGCCTAGATTTCCCATACCTGCCTAGATGATTTCCCACACCTGCCTAGATTTCCCACACCTGCCTAGATTGAGCATTCTAAAGATCTGCTGGAAAAAGGAGAGAAATGGTTTGCCTTTGGCTGTCTACACCCTTGAGCTATCAGCTGCTCCCAGAAGCGCCTGCTCCAGGCCCTGTTCCCGGCTCACCCGCACAGTGCCGCCCATCCCCAGTCAGGTTTGGAGGGCAGGCCTCGCAGCCCTTCCCAGGAACGCAGTGGACACTCGGGAAGCACGGCTCCTCACAGGCATCCTCGGAGCCCTCGCAGTAGCGGCCGAAGGTGCCCCCGTCACACTTGCAGCCAGCCACCTGGAGGAGGGTTGCCGATCACGGGCGGCCAGGAGACCAAACTGGGAAGGGCTTCTGGGTGTTTCTGACTGACCCCTTTGGCCTGAGAACCCGTGGACCCTGAGTCATGTCTCAGCCCCACCAGCACCTGCTGAGCACCTTCTTGACCAGGCCGTGGGGCGGCAAGGCCCTGCCTAAAGCCACACGGTAGTCCTGCCCAGCTGGCCTCCCTGGGTCATTGTTTACCCTGACCCCCTGCCTGGCCCTGCACCAGGATCTCAGCCTCTTCCCTCTCACACTCTAGCTCTTTGCCTGAAATCCTTTCTAGAGTAAGATGGGGGATGCATGAATGATTGAAGCATGAATGAATGAATGAATGTATCCATGTATAGATGTATGTATCCATGTATGTATGTATCCATGTATGTATGTGTGTATCCATGCATGTATGCATGTATGTATCCATGTGTGTATCCATGTGTGTATGTATCATGTATGTATCCATGTAGATATGTATCAATGTATGTATCCATGTATGTATCCATGTATGTATGTGTGTGTCATGCATGTATGCATGTATCCATGTATGTATCCATATGTGTGTATCCATGTGTGTATGTATCCATGTGTGTATGTATCCATGTATGTCCTATTGCTTGAAAACTGGATTCCTTATTTATTTTGAGACAGGGTCCCACTCGGTTGCCCAGGCTGGAGTGCAATGTCTTGATCTTGGCTCACTGCAAACTCCACCTCCCAGGTTCAAGCCATCCTCCCACCTCAGCCTCCCGAGGAGCTGGGGCTACAGGCATGCACCACCACGCCCACTAATTTTTGTATTTTTCTTCTGCTTTTTTTTTTAATGAGACAGTCTCGTTCTGTTTCCCACGCTGCAGTGCAGTGTCTCGATCTCGGCTCACTGCAATGTCCCCCTCCCAAGTTAAAGCAATTCTTGTGCCTCAGCCTCCCAAATACTTGAGATTACAGGCATATGCCACCACGCCCAGCTAATTTTTTGATTTTTAGTAGAGACAGGGTCTTGCCATATTGCCCAGGCTGGTCTCAAAGTCCTGAGCTCAAGCAATCCGCCTGCCTCAGGCTCCTATGTGGCCTGCAAACTGGATTTCATATAAGCTGAAATTGACCTCCCTTGCTGACTCCCAAACCAAGAAGACAGAGCCTCCCTGCTGAGCACTGTGAGAAAACACAGCAGCCAGTACAGCAGCTCAGCAAAGGCTGCGGCGCCGAGACCTCACCAAGCTCCCTGCGCTCCCCTTTCTAACTCCCTTACTGAAGCGACTCGGGGAATCTCCCTAAAATGGAATCCTCTAACACTTGCTACTCCCAAGAGTGGATATTTGGGGATCTGTGGAATAGTATATTGATTTCAATCTCTTTTTCCCATTGTGTATTTTATGCTTTTCTACCCCCTACCCCACCAACCGTCCCTACCTCTATCCCTTTCGAGTACCCATTCTCTGCTCATGCTTCAGAAGGATGTGTGTGTGTGTCTGTGTGTGCGTGTGCATGCGTGTGTGTGTAAGTGGTGAAGGAGGTAGTTTTGTGTTGCCAGATAAACACTTTCCTTTCTGGCTCTTCCTTTACAACCAAAAATAAAAATAAAAAAGCAGATAGGACAAGAGTCGTGGAATTAGGCCAAGTATCTTGGCTAGAAACATGGAGAAGTAGTTTCTCCAAACTGGAAAAGATGTTTCTTTTAGCTGGAAGGAGATAGTAAAAGAGAAAGCAAAGGGGCTTGGAGGTGTCAAGATAGAGGGACCCGCAGCTCTCTTCCCAGCACCGTGATGATGACATCCTAGGGAGAAATGACTGTGGGGTGCTTCTAGGCAGACAGGACTGTAAGCGGCCTCAGAAAAGGTGTCCTGTGTCTGAGCAAGGCACAGAAGCAGCAGAGCCTCTCCCTGGGTCTGAAGGGGAAGTGGGGCGGAGCTGTGATGGAAACCTGTGTGGACTCACGCCCAGGGACCCACAACCACCTTCCACCCCACACCGCAGGGCCCTCTGCTGGGCTTCGCCGCAGAGCTGTGGGGCGCTGTGAGAAAGACGGAGGTGGAAGTTTCCTGCCAACCTGGCAGAAGGGGAGGTGGGAGATAAAAATCCAGTTGAACTATAAGCAATAAAGTAAGGTTCTTTCCTCTTTCCTTCCTTCCTTCCTTTTTCTTTCTTTCGTCCTTCTTTTTCTCCAATATAGTTTCTTTCTTTCTTTCTTTTTCTCCTTTCCCTTTCTTTCCTTTCCTTTCTTTCCTTTCCTTTCTTTCCCTCCTTCTTTCTTTCTTTTCTTTTCTTTTCTTTTCTTTTCTTTCTTTTTGACATAGAGTCTCACTCTGTTGCCCAGGCTGGAGTACAATGGCGCAATCTTGGCTCACTGTAACCTCCACCTCCCGGGTGCAAGCGATTTTCCTGCCGCAGCCTCCCGAGTAGCTGGGACTACAGGCGCCTGCCACCACGCCCAGCTAATTTTTGTATTTTTAGTAGAGATGGGGTTTCACCATGTTGGTCAGGATGGTCTCGATCTCCTGACCTTGTGATCCGCTTGCCTCAGCCTCCAAAAGTGCTGAGATTAAAGGCGTGAGCCACTGCACCCGGCCAGAAAGTTCTCTTTCTTCCCATGTGAGTTTGTGGCCTGAGACTGGAATCTGCTCTACTCACCTACCACTGCTCCACCCATCTCCCAACACAGACACACCCAGGACAGGCAGAATCACAGCATCCATTCCACTCCCATTTCCTCTCCCCTCGGCACAGAAACTCCTCCCCCACCTCCCAACACTCACCTCCAGGGAGGAGTTGCCCACCCTGCTGGTCTGATTGTACAAACACTGGCTCTCTGCATTGCAATGGCAGACCACAGTCCTGGGCTGGAGTGCAGATGCCAAGCCAATCTTGGCACTTCTTGCTAGAATCTCCAGAGTGAATGGCTCCAGCGACTTGGGTGTCCACAGCAACGTCCCATTCTCTGCCCCGGGGAAGATGAGAATGTTGAGAGCTGGGAGACTCCTCGGCTCTGTGGTCTGATTGCTGATACGGGGCTTCCCCCACCCCTCTCAGGCCACCCTCCCCCTCCCCAGACAAATCTCATTGGTCATTTCCTTTGAGCAAGGCTGGTATCGGGGGTGATCCTGGTCACGCTCCCAGCTGGAAGGACGTGGCACCAGTCCAACATACTGATTGTAGCGGGGAACGCCACAGAGGGGAAAGCAGTTTCCTCCTGAAGAAACCCCAAAGGGCAGCCCTGGCTGGGCTCACACCAGGATGGGACATCCTGGGGGATGGAGGATCAAGGCCAGGATCCTCCAGACACCTCCCCAGGCTGCGCTGCCGGCCAAACTGGCTTCACTCTCACGGCAGCCCCATCCTTTGCCCTGATTTCTCACCCACCCCCCACTTCCTGGACCTTTCCCAGACACCCCCTTCAGACACCAGACTGTAGTGAAACACTACTACATATCTTCAGATCAAACTGATATTTTTCAAGAAAATAGGAAAGTCTCCTTAAAACAGCAGATTGAAAGGAAGTGACAGAGAATAGACGAACGTAATTTCCAGACCATCGTCCTTCAGGGGTGGGGCCCGTGGAGAAGAAAACCTCTCAGTGCCATTGTCTCGCACCTGGGAGGACGCACATGGGGCAAAAGGGATGCAGGCAAAGCAGTCCCTTCTGAGACACAGAGAGAAAGAACATCAGGCAGAGAGGCAAAGAGAACGCAAAATATGCCCCCCGGGGCTTTGGTTTAGCCAAGAACAGTCACCCTCAGAATTAGTGCTGGCAACAGACAGAAAGTGGCATCCCTTTGATGCCCTTGGACCCTTTGAATTAGTGCTGGCAACAGACGAAAGCAGCGTCCCTTGTGCTTGGAGCCTTTGGCCCTGATCATGGATGTAGGGCTCGGGGTCTCTAACACCTTTACGGAGAGGGAGCGATGGCACTCTACTGGGTCCTAGCCCAGGAAACCAGACAAGGAGAGACACGGCTAGGTAAACATGGTTGCCAGACAAAAAGAGCAAGAAAGGTACCAAACGAAAGTATTTTTCATATTTCTTTAAATCTTGTCCTACATTAGAGCCTTCCTTTAATAGATATAAAAATGTTGTAAATTGGTCATTTTAAATGTTGCACTTGATTATTCTAATAATTTGGTGAATGCATAATGACTAAAGATGACTATATATGATCAGATTGAGATTAAATGATCTTCAAATCTTTTTTTTGAGACAGAGTCTCGCTCTGTCACCAGGCTGGAGTGCAGTGACGCGATCTCAGCTCACTGCAACATCTGCCTCCTGGGTTCAAGCGATTCTCCTGCCTCAGTCTCCTGAGTAGCTGGGATTACAGGCATGCACCACCATGCCTGGCTTTTTTTTTTTTTTTTGTATTTTTAGTACAGACGGGGTTTCACCATGTTGGCCAGACTGGTCTCGAACTCCTGACCTCAGATGATCCGCCCACCTCGGCCTCCCAAAGCGCTGGGATGACAGGCATGAGCCACCGCGCCCAGCCTTGAATCAGTTCTATGTGCCCAGAGTCACTCTAGCTATCTGGCCAAACCGCCGTAAGCCCGTCACTACTACTTACTGGGGGGCACCTATTTGAGTTATAGATATCGCTCCTCGGAAATGCCGGTCCTGGATATTCAAATGAAAGAGTGACAGCAAGTGTTGCTGGGTGTAGCAATGCAGAATTTCCCAAATTTGACTCTGACCTCATCCCCTACCCACCTCCCCACTCTCCCCAGCCAGCCAAATAGTCCTACCAAAGAGCTCCAAGTCGGTGCAGCTGTCTCTGAGCGTGAAGTTGGCATCCTCAGCATTGCTGGTGTACTGAATCAGCGTGGTCTGCCCCTTGTAGGCTTCAATCACACGACCACCATTGATGGAGGGCGGGTACTGATCTGAAACACAAAGAGGGAATGGGGGTTCCGAGGCAGGACAGTCTCCTGCTTTATCAGCCTCCTCTCTTTCTCAACTCTAATATGTGTGAGGCATTCCCAGGACTGTGACCCACCTCTGGAAGAAGGAATTATTCTGTGTACCTGCTCTCGACTGACGCACAGCAGGCTGGGACTGTACTGCCCACCTAGCCAAATCTTTAGCCTCTTTCTCTCCCCCCACCTCCTCAAAAAGAGCTCCTTTCAGATTCTTTCCTGAACACAGTGCTATGCTGGGTATGACAAAAAGTGAATTAGAGAGCAGATTTGTTTGGACCATTACAAAGGGTTGTACCCTTAGACCAAAGGGTTGTACCTTTGGCAAAGGGCTGAAAACCTGAAGGGTGCTGGGTGTCTCATGTCTGTAATCCCAGCACTTTGGGAGGCCGAGGCCGGTGGATAACCTGAGGTCAGGAGTTCGCGACCAGCCTGACCAACATGGTGAAACCCTGTCTCTACTAAAAATACAAAATTAGTCAGGCATGGTGGCGGGTGCCTGTAATCTCAGCTATTCAGGAGGCTGAAACAGAAGAATCGCTTGAACCCGGGAAGCAGAGGTTGCGACGAGCCGAGATCACGTCACTGCACTCCAGCCTGGGCAACAAGAGCGAAACTCCGTCAACACACACACACACACGCACAAAACCTGGAGGGTCACATCTAAAGGGACATTGCATTTGTCCAGAAATAGAGAGGGAGTGAAACCTCTTCACGGGTCTGTTTCTCGGAGCCCTGCCATTTCCATTTCATAGTTGCTTCACACATTCATTCAGTCAGTCATTTAACAAACATTTATTGAGCTAAGTGGCTGGCACTGTTCTGGGTGGTGAGGATACAGTCATGAATGAATAATTAAAAAGATACCTGTGAAAATTATAAAATATGTTGAGTAATTATAAATGCTAAGGAGAAAAAAATAAAGCAGGGAAGGCAAACATGAAGTGTGGGTGAATGTGACATTTTAGACAGGGCGGCCAAGAGAGGCCTCACCAAGGAGGGGACATTGGAATGAAGACGTAAAGAAGGTGAGGGGCAAGCGTGTGGCTGTCCAGGGAAGGAAGGGTATTCCAGGCAAGAGAACAGCACGTGTGAAGCCTGGGAGCTGAGCGCACCTAGCGTGTTTGAAGAACACAGAGGAGCCTGCGGGGCTGGAGTGCAGGGAGCTGGGAAGGGGTCCAGCGCTAGGATGGAGTGGAGGGGGCTGGGAAGGCATCCAGCGCTAGGATGGATGGAGGGGGCTGGGAAGGGGTCCAGCGCTAGGATGGAGTGGAGGGGGCTGGGAAGGCGTCCAGCGCTAGTATGGAGTGAAGGGGGCTGGGAAGGCATCCAGCGCTAGGATGGACGGAGGGGGCTGGGAAGGCGTCCAGCACTAGGAGAAGAGCTCTGAGAAGCTGAACTGGGCCGAAGGCCACTGCAAGGATGGAGAGAGCCAGGGAAGTCTCTGAAGGGTTTGAGCAGAGGAATGCCAGGAGTGGAAGAATCTGCTCAGTGAATGCAGATGCACAGGGAAAAGCAGGGTCAGGCAAGGGCAGCTCCTCATCTGCTCCCGACTCTGAAAAGGCCTCCCCAGGCCTCGGGCCACTTACTGAGGGTGGCGTTCGCCTGCTCGTAGTTTTTACTGACTTCCCTCGTGTGAAGTCCGATGCTTGCGTTGCGCAGGGCCAGGGTGTCATAGATGCATGAGCTATCTCCGTCACAGTTGGAGATCAAATGTTCAGCCCAGGAGCTGTTTTTTTGCAGTTGTGAGTAGAAAACAGGGGTGAAGTTGGAAGGCAGCTGGTCATTCCTCTTGCCAAGGAGGCCTGTCCCGTTGATCTGCCCTGTAACACACAGAGCGCGGTGGTACCAGGCATGGCACTCAGCCTTATTCCATCTGTGTCCACCTCTACCCCTCACTTTAGATGGCTTGGAGCGGGGCGGTGGGAGTGCAGGGCCAGAGCGGTTTCCAGCTTCTGAGTCTAGAAACACCTGCTGCAGTGAGAGAGGACACTCCACGTCCCCCATTCTCTCCTCCAGGTAGAGAGAGGCAGGTGGGCTGGTGGTGGTGGGGACAGCCCTGGGGGGGCACAGATTCCTCAGACCTTAGGGAGGATGGAGGTCTGCTTCCTACAGGGCCGAGGGGGACGACATAAACATACCGGCTCCCCTCACCTGCCCCTCTGCCCCAGGACCCTGCCCAGACTCACAGGTCATTCCAAAGTGGAAAAGCATCTCCTCAGGGCTCCCTGGGGGAATGGTGGAGCCATTGGGCATCCTGAAGTCGTCCTCTGGATTGTTATTCCAGACCCCTGAGGGACAGAGTGGGAGGTTGGCCACCCTGGGCACGCGGCTGTCCCCTTCCTGGGGAGCATCCGGCGGACGCAGTGGGGAGAGGCCAGGGCCTGGCAGCCTCTGCTCTTGCACCTGCTGTCAGGCCTCCAGGGGAGCCGGGAGGACGGGCCCTCACACCCTGCCCGTCTGCCTTCGGGAGGGGCGGGAGGAAACGCGGGCAGCGGTGGAGGAGGGCGGGAGGATGTGGGAGGCAAGAGGAAAGGGAGAAAGGATGGCTGTGCCCCCCGCCTCCCCGCAGCCCCCCCTGATGCTCCCTTAGAGCGGGCGGAGGACAGGAAGGGAGCCTCGGGGGAGGCTGGAGAAGCCCCTCGGCTCCCGGCCCGCTCTGTGCCCCAAGGGTTCTGCTCCAAGGAGGCGGAGAAAGGGAGGCCGAGCAGGGCTGCCCGGGCCGCCGGCGTGGGGGTCCGAGCTCCGGCTGGCTCCGCGGAGCCTCAGAGGCAGGTCCGAGCCGCCCTCACCCAGGAGCCCCTCCGTGCGGTTCTGGTACTCGGGCGGGAGGCTGGCGGAGGCGTGGAGGATGTTGGAGAGCGCGATCACCGAGACGGTGGCCCAGCCGTCGAAGCTGGCCGAGACCTCAGAGCCGTTGCGGCTCAGGAGGACTCCGGTGGCGTTGAACGTCTCCTGGCCTGGAGCATCGGGAGGCAGCGGAGAGGAAGCCAGGTCGGCACCACGGCCCGCACCAAACCCGCGCCCTGCCGGGCCCGCACCACCCCCACCCCGCCCCTGGGGCTGAAGCCGGGAGGGGTCTGCACTGGAGGCGGAGAAGAGGCCGGCGAGCTGCACGCCCCGCTCGGGGGTAGAGGCTGCGCTCTCTTGGCCCTGCACCGCCACGCACCGGGCCCTGCACCGCCACGCACCGGGCCCGGCACCACAACGCACTCGGCCCTGCACCGCCACGCACCGGGCCCTGCACCGCAACGCACCCGGCCCTGCACCGCAACGCACCGGGCCCTGCACCGCCACGCACCCGGCCCTGCACCGCCACGCACCCGGCCCTGCACCGCCACGCACCGGGCCCTGCACCGCCACGCACCGGGCCCTGCACCACAACGCACCCGGCCCTGCACCGCAAAGCACTCGGCGCGGCACCGCCACGCGCCCGGCCCTGCACCACAACGCACCCGGCCCTGCACCGCCACGCGCCCGGCCCTGCACCGCAACGCGGCTTCCCGCCCACCTCGCTGCTCCCGGTGCGGGGAGGGGGCGGCCGGCGCTCCCCAACCTACCTCCGCCGTCTTCATGGTCAGGCTGAAATGTCACAGTCTGGTTATCCAGCAGGACACGGATTGCGTCGTGAGGCTCAAGGAGCCATTGGACCTGGAAGGAGATGGGAGGGGGCCTGAGCCCGACCCGCAGGTGGAGCCGACGCCCAGGAAAGCAGCTGGGAGAGCCCCTGGGGCTGGAAGCTGCGCCCTGGGCCGGGAGGAAGGCGCTGGAGGCCGCGGCCTGAGGTGATGCCAGCCGCCGTCTACCGTGTGCTCGGCAGGGCCAGGCATGGTTTTCGGATTATGCCCTTTAGCTCTTACAACAGCCCGTGAGGCAGGTAATGTCATCCCCATTCTTACTAGGAGAAAACCAAATTAAGTAGTTTCTTCGAAGCCAAGCAGCTGGGAAACCGTGGGGCCAGAGCCCTAATCCACCATCCCCAGGATTTACTCCGGGACAGCTGCGTGGATGGGCTGTGTCCTCCCTCCCTCCTGCCCGGCTTCCCCTCCTTCGCTCTCTTCCTTCTCCTCGGCCTCAGTATGTGGCTGAAGGTCCCTGTGGGTGGAATGCAGGGAGGTTCCCGGCACCCCTCACTCACCGTGACGGGGCCCAGGCTGCTGGAGCGGTACTGAGCCGCAAAGGCGATGAAGTTGGTGGCCTGGGCTGAGCCAGTCTGGGCGGTGCGGCCCTGAAGCAGGAAGGAGGAGTTCCCGTCTTGGGCCCCGACCAGCAGGAAGTCCCCCAGCCCATTGAAGGTGTAACTGACACCATCCAAGGTGGTGATGTGGGGGTCCCCGAACATCCAGGCTGGAAGGAAAAAAGAGATGCTGCCTCAGCATGACAAATCATGTGTAGGGCTGAGGTTCCTCACTGCAGTCAGGTGCGGCACTTGTCCAGGAGGACTCAGGGTGAGGTTCCTCACTGCAGTCGACTGGGGCACTTGTCCGGGCGGACTCAGCTGGGGAGATGTTCACAGAGCACAGAATCCTCCCCTCAAGCCTCCTTGCATTTTCGTGCCCCGCTATTCTCACTCCTTCCCCAACTCAGGTACAAAGCCCCTCCACTGACCATCCACCCATCACTGGCGTCATCTCCATCTTCCCTTGTGGCCACAGCTCTGCCCCTACTCCTTATCCAGATGCCACCTCCCGGAAGCCCAGAAGCTCCCCCTCCCCAGAGGCTCTTCCTGGGCCTGGGCCCTGTCGCTCACCGGGCTGTGGGGGCCTGTATGTAGCACAGCCCACGTGGGGCCGCCTCTGCTGGTACAGGGCACAGAGGTAGGGCTTGTCATTCCAGCGGCAGCACCAGCTCTGTGGCTCCAGTTCCTGGGCTGCGGAGAACAGCAGTGAGTCGGGGAGGTTGAGGACCTGGAGAAGCTTGGCAGGGCAGGGTGGTGTTGGTTGAGAGCTTGGCAGGGCAGGGCGGTGTTGGTGGAGAGCTTGGCAGGGCAGGGCGGTGTTGGTGGAGAGCTTGGCAGGGCAGGGCGGTGTTGGTGGAGAGCTTGGTAGGGCAGGGCGGTGTTGGTGGCAAGAGCATGGCTTTGGAATCCAGCATGGCCCTTCTCATGACCTTGGGCAGTGAATAGGGTGCTGTCTCTTTTGCAGGCATTGGGGCCACTGTGCAGCAGGGCGCATGGTAGGAGCTAAGCAAATTTCCTGTCTTGAGGGTGGAGAGCCAAGTACTGCTGCTCTCAACGTGCTGGGAGTGGGGAGGGCACGGCTGACGGTCTGGGAACTGTGGAAACTGCCATGGGACGGGGGAGAGAACGGGAGGACACAGACCACGTGACCCCACACCCCTGCGCTCTCCAGCTCCCTTGGAGCGTCTCTGTGGGAGCTGACTCTCAGTCTTCCCCCAAACATCCTGCTCATCTGGGTCTACAGGGACGGGGTCAGCCTAGGCGCTCTCTTCTTGCCTGGAGAAATGGCCCCACTCTGGCCTGGGGATGTGGAGCCAGGTATAGAGATGAGGAAAGAGGCTCTCAGCTCATACATCCCCGAATGTCCGCTGGTGGGGATGTTGGAAGCTTCCTAACGTTACCCGATCAGGAAGTGGAGGCCCAGAGAGGGGAAGGGTCTGGGAAGGAATGAGGACGAGAGGCTTCATGCTGAGGGTCCCCTACTTGGCCGGGAAGGTGGGGTTGAGATCACGGACTCACGCACCCAACTGCCAAGGACGCTGCACGTGCCAGCCTTCACGAAACTCTCCCCAGGGCCCGTAGCTGCAGCACACGCCTCCTCGCCAAGAGGTGAAGCTGCACAGCTGCCTACTGCCGAGGCCCCAGCGACCTGAAACAAGTCCAGTCCCACTCAGGCCCAGGCTGGGGCTGCCAGGGGCGGGGTGGGAACAAGCAGGGGCTGTTTCTGGGGAGAGGCTGAGGGCGTGAGCAGAGAGGGTGGTGGGTGGGCTTGTGGGGGGCGGGAAGGAGGTGTCACCTATGCTGACGGGTTGGAATCGTAAGTCCCGTCGTCCCTGCTGCCAGGAACAAGGGCAGGAGACCTGGTTCCAGCCCCAGCTGGGCCACCGAGGCTGGCTCTTCAGCCACTGCAGGCACTCGAGACGGTAGTTGGGCCTTTCTTCCCGGTGTAGCCTGTAGAACTGCAGCCCTTGGAGGCCTGAGGTCGGGGATGGGGGGGAAAGGGCTTATCCAGGGCTGGGGCTGCAGGCCCTGTCTCAGCTTTAGGGTCAACCAAAACTCACAAATGCACCCCCTCCTGCCACTTCTCACCTCTTTGGACCCAAGTCAGATGGGCAACAATTCCTCCCCCAAAGCCCCTCGCTTGACTTAGCGTCTGCTTCTGACGACCAAACGTGGTTGCCACAGAACAAATAGAACTGGATTTACACTTCACAGTTCACGTGGCTGGTTTCTAAGGCTAAAATGTCCTTCAACCTATCACATTTTGGAAACTATTATTTCTTTCCCATTGGGGCCTCTGGACTGAGTCATGGAGAAGGCGCCATTGTTTGCCTCTTGACGCTTGTCTTTCTACCCGCATGAAAGCTCTTTGAGAGAAAACACAGTTGGTCTTTTTCCTTTGTTTCTGGCTGTTAGCACGGTGTCCAGCACACGGCAGGTGCCCAGTAAATGATGACAATGAACGTGAGACCCCCGGGCCTCTTCTTGGTGGATTCTCTCTTTTTGAGATGGAGTCTCACTCTGTCACCCAGGCTGGAGTGCAGTGGCGCGATCTCGGCTCGCTGCAACCTCCACCTCCCAGGTTCAAACAATTCTCCTGCCTCAACCTATTGAGTAGCTGGAATTACAGGTGTGCACCACAACGTCTGGCTAATTTTTGTATTTTTAGTAGAGACAGAATTTCACCATGTTGGCCAGGCTGGTCTCGAACTCCTGATCTCAAGTGATCCGCCCACCTCAGCCTCCCAAAATGCTGGGATTACAGGTGTGAGCCATGGCGCCCAGCCGGTAGATTTTCTTAAAGGATCTCACCTGGGTTCTCATTCCTGCTCTGGACAGGACACTTGGAGTATTGTCTGAACTGCCCATTCAAATCCCACCTCCCACAAGACCCTGTCCTCACTTCCAGGATCTGGGCCCCCCGAGAGCCCTCTTGGGCTGGTTCATCTGAGGGAGGAGATGTAGCCCCCTCTGAGACTGTGCTGTGTCCAGGGGTGCAGGAGGTGCCAGCTGCTCCCTGGGTGGTGCCACATCCCACCTAGACCTGTAGGAGGTTGAACTGTGTGGGGGAGGCCCTTCAGGATGGCCGTGATGTTAGGGAGGTGCCCTCTAGGACTGCGATGGTGTATGGGCTGGAGGACACGCGAGGGCTTGAGACCAGCTCAGGTGTGATAAGGTGGCACTTTTACCTGAGTTGGAATTCAGGAATCTATCAGGGCGATACCTCTCCCACACTGGCTGGGACATCAGTGGGCTGTTTTCGAAATAGCCATCTCCACTGCAGGAAAGGAGAGACTCTCAGGCCTCTGCCGTGCACAGGCTCTTGCCTCGCGGTTGCAAGGCGTCCATTCATCCCGCTAGCCGGTCAGCAGCTGGTCAACCAGCTAGGCGGGCAGTGGGTCAGTGGGTCAGCCAGCCCCCATCGTCAAGCCCCAGCACTGAGCAGGAGAGGGGACAAGATGGCTGGGCAGAGGTAGGAGGCTCTAACCGATTCCACATCTGATCGCTAGCTGCAAGAAACTGGCAGGTCCGCTTGGTCATGAGACAGGGGCGTGAAAACAACAGAGTTCAGGCCTCATTTCTGTTTGTTTCCCTTCAACAAGCAGAGGGTTTGGAGCGGGACAGACTCTAGGGACAGTGTATTGTGATGGTTAAGACCCAGTTTCTGGAGTTAGGCAGTGATGGATTCAACTGCTGATCCCCCCACTTACTAGCTTGGTGACCACAGACAAGTTACTGACCCTCTCTGATTCTTAGTTTTCACATCTGTATAAAAGGGATTACAGTGGCATCTACCTCACTGTATTGTGAGGATTAAATGCAGTAACATCTGCAAATCCCTCAGAACTGAGTGAGGCCTTGATACAACAGATGCTGCCACTGCTGCTACCACCACCACCACCATCGCCAGCACTACCACCACCACCACCATCATCGTCACCACCAACACTACCATCACCATCACCATCACCACCACCACCACCAACACTACCACCACCATCACCATCACCACCACCATCACCATCACCACCACCATCACCATCACCACCACCATCGCCACCACCATCATCACCATCACCATTACCATTGCCACCACCATCACCACCACCATCACCACCACCACCATCATCACCATTGCCACCACCATCACCACCATCACCACCACCATCGCCACCACCACCACCACCACCATCACCATCACCACCATCACTGGCCACCCCCCAAAAAATACCACCATCGGCCACCACCACCATCACCACCACCATCACCATCGCCACCACCACCATCACCACCACCACCACCATCACCACCATCATTGCCACCACCATCATCACCACCATCACCACCACCACCACCATCACCACCACCACCATCGCCACCATCACCCCCAACACCACCACCATCACCACCATCACCACCACCATCACCACCATCACCATCGCCACTGCCACCTCCACCGCCACTACCACCACCACCACCACCACCACCACCACTATCGCCATCACCGTCCCCAGGTGTGGGGTCCGAGCATGGCCCGGGAAGGAGGAAAGCCTGGAGCAGCCGCCTGCAGCCCCACCCTGGGTGCCTGCTGCAGAGTGGGGACTCTTGGGCTTTTCCTCCTCCCTGACACAAGCAGGATGATGCACCCCTGCGTGACACCTTCCTTGGGTGTACCTGGACCGTGTGAAATTCCTAGAGTTGGGTAATTCCCCTCCTTTCTCCTTCATAGCACACCAAGAAACTAGTGAAAGCAGTGTAATCAAAGGGGTAACCTGAACACACTCAATGTAAGAGAAGACATTTGCAGCAATTATCAAGAACAAAAGACATGTGGCCTTCGTACTGATTGCCACACCCCAGCATATGGGAACAGAGATGGCGCACTGCTACATCGGAGACAGCCTCCCACACACGGGAATCCACATTTCAACCGCCCACAGCCCCGTGCCTCCTCTCTCCCTTCACCACCGGCTCCATATAAGCTTTTGGGTGCCCCCTGGATAAGTGGGTAATTCTCAGGAAGTCAGGAAGGCAGATTCTAGCCTCAGATGTCTGGGTTCAAATCTCCATGTTGCCACTTCCCAGCTCTGGGACTTTAGGCAAATTGCTAGTCTATTTGTATCTCAGTTTCCTGATCTGTAGAATGGGGATGATAAATAGTATCTGCCTCGTGGGGTGGCTGTGATCATGACATGCAGTAATGTACACGAAGTGTTAGTGTCATCAGTCTTGGCTGTTATTATCACGATATTTGAGAAGGTAAGAGAGGCCAGCTAATGTCAGTGGAAATCAGGGAAGCCAAAGCTCTGGGAATGATTACAACTCACGGGGACTGGGATGGGAAAGGGCATGGCGGACAAATGGGTGATCTTGTCGTGGGAAGCAGCCAGATGCCTGGCCCCAGCGGGAGCTGGAGTCAGCGTGAGTCAGAAGCACCAGCCAGGAGGGTTCCCGCCTTGCCCCAGGATGGGAGTGTGTGTGCAGCGAAAGCCGACTCTACACCCCTCCCTGCCAACTGCTCAGTGCTGACAGCCCCTCCCATCCTACCTAGAGAAGCCCATGAGCACCGGGTTGCCTGAGCGCTGGGCCACGTCCCACTGCATCCCACCGCTCTGGTAGAGAAACAGGGCATAGGACCTGCTCCCGTCCGTGGAGAGGATGGCTTGGTAGGTGTTGCTCTGGGGGTGGGTGGAAGAAAACACAGGGATGCCCGTGAGAGATCCGGGGTCTCCTCTCTTATGTCCCCCCGCCCGTCCCACAGCCCTGCTCTGACACGCACAGCACCTGTTCCTGGTCTGCCCACAGCAAAGACATGGGCCCAAAATGCTGGCAAGTTTTGGGTCAGTGAGGGCAGCTTTCACCCTGGGTGCGAACGCACTTACCACGGTGGATTTGCCTTTTGGTGACTTTCTTCCAGGAGGGGAGATAAAGGGTTCTGGGTTACAATTCAGTTAGATGAGTGTTTGTTAGAGAAAGCTACCAGAACCTGAGATCAGCCAAGATACCAGAGAGCTAGAGAGGAGGCTTCATTAGCTCCCGCGCGGATATTTAAGGACATTGCCCAAATTGTCTCCTCCATCTAAACAGCATGGATGACACTGGGGTTCACTGAAGGCGCACACGTTGTCCACAGTAGGTGACCAGTGAACTTTTGTCGAGTGAATGAAGAAATGAGTGACTTTAGACCAGGCATAAGGAAGAACTTGGTGACTACAAGAGCGGGGTCCTCGGAGGGAGGACAGAGGAGATGGTGTGGCGCACCCTGTGCCCGTTGGATGAGCCTGTGCTTCAGAGCCAGAGGCTGGAGTCAGAAGAAGCTCCACTCAGGCCTGGCTTTGCCATTTGCCAGTGGCGTGACTCTGAACGAGTTACTTAACCTCTCTAACCATTGTCTTCCTCATCTGTAAAATGGGGAGCATAATACCAGACTGAGCCACGTGAAATTGTGAATAGCCAGACATTTTTGACTTACAAAAATGCCACTTGCTATGTTTCAGCCTAATAATACCCGGTTTGCTGGGCTGCTGTGAGGTCAAGTAGGCAAAGGGCCGAGACAGGCCGGGCCCACGGTGAGTGCTCAGCCAACAGTGGTGGCAGTGGGGGGGTGGCGGTGGGGGGGCTTGCTATAATTAGCAATCTTTCCTAGAGCCAGAGAGGATTTTGGAAGAGTGGCCCCTGCCTAGGATTCTAGGATGTCTGACTCCCAGATAGCTCCTGGGAGCTGCCCAGGGGTCTACTCACCCCGAGGGTCCACTGGGCAGGATAGGCGTGGGCATTGACCCACGTGACCTTTAGGGCCCACCTGGCCTTGTAGCCCCCGTTGTTTGTCATCTTTCTAATCCAAGACTCGGCCTGCTGGACTAGCAGGCTGTGTTCACCATAGAACGTCTCGTATTCCTAGGAAAGGAGGGCAGATGAAAACAAGCCAACGAGGGTCCCACTCCTACACATGGGCCCCCCACTTTCTGCCTGAGGACCCTGCCCACTTCAGCCCACCCAATGGCCTGCCCTCCCCTGTCCCAGGCCTGCATTTTTGCCGTGAGCTTTTCTGAGGTGAAGTTCAATTCAAACTTGGGCTGCAGGAAGGCCTGCAGTGTGCAGAATGCAGGGTCGTGGCCCAGACGTCCAAGACCTCTGGACTTGAACTCAAGCATCTTAGCTCAAACTGGCCCAGAGAGCAGAGCCACTCGGGCCCACTTTTACCTCCCCATGCCTAATCTGCAGCTTCTTGAGAACAGGCGTGAGTCTCTTCCTCTTGGAGCCTCCACACTGCCCTGTCCGTGGCAGGGGCACGGTCCACACTTCCTGCAGTAGCTTTCATCACATTTCCTCTGATTGGAGTTATTCACCCAGTCCAGGAGCACAGGACGGGCCCTCTTGACTCACTCTTGTTAGGATAGACCCCCTACAGCCTGATTTTACAATCAAAGGCTGAATTGTCAGCCCCCATCCCCCGTCACCTGTAGGTCTTCTCGTGGCCGGGTTGGGGTATTCCTGGTCAGTCTCGCGGCCGGGTTGGGGTATTCCTGGTCAGTCTCGTGGTTGGGTTGGGGTATTCCTGGTCAGTCTCGTGGTTGGGTTGGGGTATTCCTGGTCAGTCTCGTGGCCGGGTTGGGGTATTCCTGGTCAGTCTCGTGGCCGGGTTGGGGTATTCCTGGTCAGTCTCGCGGCCGGGTTGGGGTATTCCTGGTCAGTCTCGTGGTTGGGTTGGGGTATTCCTGGTCAGTCTCGTGGTTGGGTTGGTGTATTCCTGGTCAGTCTCGTGGTTGGGTTGGGGTATTCCTGGTCAGTCTCGTGGTTGGGTTGGGGTATTCCTGGTCAGTCTCGTGGTTGGGTTGGGGTATTCCTGGTCAGTCTCGTGGTTGGGTTGGGGTATTCCTGGTCAGTCTCGTGGTTGGGTTGGGGTATTCCTGGTCAGTCTCGCGGCCGGGTTGGGGTATTCCTGGTCAGTCTCGTGGTTGGGTTGGGGTATTCCTGGTCAGTCTCGTGGTTGGGTTGGGGTACTCCTGAGTCAGCTTAATGTCCCTTGACTGCTTCCTCCCACACCCATATTTAAGCCTCAGTCCCCTGCTGCAGGGGCTGTCACAGCAGCAACTCTGGCAAAGCCTTCCACACAGCTCTTTGTCTCCCCTGCCAGCTGCTGGGGGATCCTGACTGCCAGGCTTTGAAAGGCTCACCTGATAAAATGTGGTCCCCCGACCAGTGGAGAAGTCAGCATCGTCCCAGAACGGAGCCACCAGGGCCACAGGGTCCCGGCCTGTGAAGCCTGTTGGGAGTGGGTTGGGGTAGGAGAAAATCTGGTAGTCTGACTCTGGGAAGATGATCTGGCCATTGTCTGTGAACTGAGCACATGGGTTTTGTGGTCAGCATTCAGGGAGGGAAGTGGGGAGGAAAGTCCCAGCCTTGGTCCAGCTCCTCAAAAGCGTGACCCCCAAGGGTAGAGCTTTAGAGATGCTAACAACCCCTGGAAGTCACCTCCTGTGTCCTGTTTTGGGGAGAGCCCTTTCCATATATTCTCACAGAATGCTCCGCCCTCAGGCCATCCCTTGCGTCCTCGGGTGGTAGGCTTGGTCCTGTTTCACTGCAGATCCCTGGCTGTGGACCAGCCCCTCACAGGCACACCCCTCTTGGCCAGTCCCCTGGGCCCCATCCTGAAGTTTGCGACACATTAGGTGGGGCTCAGGGAGTGGAACCCTCTCTCCATCGCTCAGGGGGTGGAGCCCTCCCTCCATCGCTCAGTGGGTGGAGCCCTCCCTCCGTCGCTCAGGGGTGTAGACACCCTCTCTCCATCGCTCAGGGGTGCAGACACCCCATCTCCATCACTTAGGGGGTGGAACCCTCTATCTATTGCTCAGCAGGTGTAGACACCCTCTCTCCATCGCTCAGGGGTGTAGACACCCTCCCTTCATCGCTCAGGGGTGTAGACACCCTCCCTTCATCGCTCAGGGGTGTAGACACCCTCCCTCCATCGCTCAGGGGTGTAGACACCCTCTCTCCATCGCTCAGGGGTGTAGACACCCTCCCTTCATCGCTCAGGGGTGTAGACACCCTCCCTTCATCGCTCAGGGGTGTAGACACCCTCTCTCCACCGCTCAGGGGTGTAGACACCCTCTCTCCATCGCTCAGGGGTGCAGACACCCCATCTCCATCACTTAGGGGGTGGAAACCTCTCTCTATCACTCAGCAGGTGTGGACACCCTCTCTCCATCCCTCAGGGGTGTAGACACCCTCCCTTCATCGCTCAGGGGTGTAGACATCCTCTCTCCATCGCTCAGGGGTGTAGACACCCCCTCTCCATCGCTCAGGGGTGTAGACACCCCCTCTCCATCGCTCAGGGGTGTAGACACCCTCTCTCCATCGCTCAGGGGTATAGACACCCTCCCTTCATCGCTCAGGGGTGCTCAGGGCTATAGACACCCTCCCTTCATCGCTCAGGGGTGTAGACACCCTCTCTCCATCGCTCAGGGGTGTAGATACCCTCTCTCCATCGCTCAGGGGTGTAGACACCCTCTCTCCATCGCTCAGGGGTGTGGACACCCTCTCTCCATCGCTCAGGGGTGTAGACACCCTCCCTTCATCGCTCAGGGGTGTGGACACCCTCTCTATCGTTCGGGGTGTAGACATCCTCTCTCCATCGCTCAGGGGTGTAGACACCCCCTCTCCATCGCTCAGGGGTGTAGACACCCTCTCTCCATCGCTCAGGGGTGCAGACACCCCATCTCCATCACTTAGGGGGTGGAAACCTCTCTCTATCACTCAGCAGGTGTAGATACCCTCTCTCCATCGCTCAGGGGTGCAGACACCCCATCTCCATCACTTAGGGGGTGGAAACCTCTCTCTATCGCTCAGCAGGTGTAGGCACCCCCCTCCATCGCTCAGGGGTGTAGACACCCTCTCTCCATCACTCAGGGGTGCAGACACCCCATCTCCATCACTTAGGGGGTGGAAACCTCTCTCTCACTCAGCAGGTGTGGACACCCTCTCTCCATCGCTCAGCAGGTGTGGACACCCTCTCTCTATCACTCAGCAGGTGTGGACACCCTCTCTCCATCGCTCAGCAGGTGTGGACACCCTCTCTCTATCGCTCAGCAGGTGTGGACACCCTCTCGCCATCGCTCAGCAGGTGTGGACACCCTCTCTCTATCGCTCAGCAGGTGTGGACACCCTCTCGCCATCGCTCAGCAGGTGTGGACACCCTCTCGCCATCGCTCAGCAGGTGTGGACACCCTCTCGCCATCGCTCAGCAGGTGTGGACACCCTCTCTCTATCGCTCAGCAGGTGTGGACACCCTCTCCATCGCTCAGTCGCCCTCTCATGCTGTGTTCGGACTCAGCCTCCTCCCTCAGGGCCACAGGAGCCAGGACTGTCCCTCCAACTCTGCTCCAGGAGGCAGGGACCAGGGGGCCAGAGACAAATCCCAGAAGGTGGAAACGGCAGGAACAGTCCAGTTTCCCAAGTGTAGCTTTTTACTCCTGAGAAGGCCCCGCAGAAGCAGCGGTGGGCCCAGCAGGTGGGCAGCCCTCGCCTGGCACCCTGTGTTCCTCAGGCAGAGGCCTGACATTAAGGAGGCTGTGGGGATGGACGAGGGGCCCAGCCAAGGCTGCTTCCATTCCCGCTTCCTCTGGGTTCCGTCTCGAAGCAGGAGAGAGAAGTGGGCCCTGGGAGTTCAGGCTGCGCGGGCCGCAGCCCGGACTCACGTAGAGGGAATCACGGAGAGAGGAGCCAAGGGGGAAGCCAGTCGCCGGCTTGAAGAGTGGGGAGGTGAAGTCCACGGTCCTCCTGACGAACTCCAGGTCCCCGGCGCCTGCCCCATAGGGGAAGAGGGAAACTCCTGGGCCAGGACAGAGAAGAGCAGGAAGTCCAAGTGGGCCTGGGCCTTCTTTAGGGCTGAAAGGGATCCCAGAGCGCTCCCTGCAGGCTGCCCACACCTGTCCTGTGTTCCCCGAGGGCCCCAGAGGCAGCCATCTAGGGTGCTTCTCGCTCCCTCTCCACCCACATTAAATGCATGTGGTCATTTTACTCCCTAAACTGCGCCTCTCATCCTTCCCCAGCTTGGAGAAAAACAGGTCCTGCTGTCAGAATACCAGCAAACGATTCTCAATCTCTTAGTCTCAATCCTTTTCAGGGTTAAAAGACAAAAGTCTATGCTGGGTGCGGTGGCTCACGCCTGTAATCCCAGCACTTTGGGAGGCTGAGGCGGGAGGATCACGAGGTCAGGAGTTCGAGACCAGCCTGACCAACATGGAGAAGCCCTGTCTCTACTTAAAATACAAAAATTAGCCGGGTGTGGTGGCGCATGCCTGTAATCCCAGCCACTCGGGAGGCTGAGGCAGGAGAATTGCTTGAACCCGGGAGGCTGAGGTTCCAGTGAGCTGAGATCGCGCCACTGCACTCCAGCCTGGGCAACAAGAGCGAAAACTCCATCTCAAAAAAAAAAAAAAAAATAGACAAAAGTCCAGCGCAATGAAGATGAGTAACTGCAAAGCCCTTTTCAGGGAATGAGACTTGTTTCCTAAGACGGCCTTTCTCCAGATAAACTTGAAGACTCCTCCAATTTAACCTAGGACTCCCTAGAGGCCCTCGGGCTCCAGTTTGAGAAACCTTGTCCCAAATATTTCTCGCAGCTGCCGACTCCTTGGCGCCCTCCCCTGGTCCTGCTTGGAAACCCGCAGGCTCTCCTGGCCTCCTCACTGCCTGCAAATCGGACCGCTCCAGGCACCACTTGTTAAATGCCATTTGTACAATGCAAAACTGAGTCCTCCCTGGCTCCCGTTGCCTACAGGATTCCCCGCATGCCGGCCGCACTTTTTGCTACCCTTCTTCTCATTTTCAGCCACCCCAAATGCTTCGGGGATCCACCCCCATGCAGCACCGGGACGACTTTCTGCAGCCATACCTACCACACTCGTACCTTCCACACCCATACCTTCCACACCCATACCTTCCACACCCATACCTTCCACACCCATACCTTCCACACCCATACCTTCCACAGTCATACCTTCCACACCCATACCTTCCACAGCCATACCTTCCACACCCATACCTTCCACACCCATACCTTCCACAGTCATACCTTCCACACCCATACCTTCCACACCCATACCTTCCACACCCATACCTTCCACACCCATACCTTCCACAGTCATACCTTCCACACCCATACCTTCCACAGTCATACCTTCCACACCCATACCTTCCACACCGATACCTTCCACACCCATACCTTCCACACCCATACCTTCCACATCCATACCTTCCACACCCTTACCTTCCACACCCATACCTTCCACACCCATACCTTCCACACCCTTACCTTCCACACCCATACCTTCCACGGCCATACCTTCCACGGTCATACCTTCCACACCCATACCTTCCACGGCCATACCTTCCACACCCATACCTTCCACACCCATACCTTCCACACCCATACCTTCCACACCCATACCTTCCACAGTCATACCTTCCACACCCATACCTTCCACACCCATACCTTCCACATCCATACCTTCCACAGTCATACCTTCCACACCCATACCTTCCACATCCATACCTTCCACGGCCATAACTTCCACACCCATACCTTCCACACCCTTACCTTCCACACCCATACCTTCCACACCCATACCTTCCACACCCTTACCTTCCACACCCATACCTTCCACAGCCATACCTTCCACACCCATACCTTCCACAGTCATACCTTCCACACCCATACCTTCCACACCCATACCTTCCACATCCATACCTTCCACACCCATACCTTCCACACCCATACCTTCCACACCCATACCTTCCACACCCATACCTTCCACACCCATACCTTCCACACCCATACCTTCCACAGTCATACCTTCCACACCCATACCTTCCACACCCATACCTTCCACAGCCATACCTTCCACACCCATACCTTCCACACCCATACCTTCCACACCCATACCTTCCACACCCATACCTTCCGCACCCATACCTTCCGCACCCATACCTTCCACACCCATACCTTCCGCATCCATACCTTCCACACCCATACCTTCCACACCCATACCTTCCGCACCCATACCTTCCACACCCATACCTTCCGCACCCATACCTTCCACACCCATACCTTCCACACCCATACCTTCCACACCCATACCTTCCACACCCATACCTTCCACAGTCATACCTTCCACACCCATACCTTCCACACCCATACCTTCCACACCCTTACCTTCCACACCCATACCTTCCACAGTCATACCTTCCACACCCATACCTTCCACACCCATACCTTCCACACCCATACCTTCCACACCCATACCTTCCACACCCATACCTTCCACACCCATACCTTCCACGGCCATACCTTCCACAGTCATACCTTCCACACCCATACCTTCCACACCCATACCTTCCACACCCATACCTTCCACACCCTTACCTTCCACACCCATACCTTCCACAGTCATACCTTCCACACCCATACCTTCCACAGTCATACCTTCCACACCCATACCTTCCACACCCATACCTTCCACATCCATACCTTCCACACCCATACCTTCCACACCCATACCTTCCACACCCATACCTTCCACACCCATACCTTCCACAGTCATACCTTCCACACCCATACCTTCCACAGTCATACCTTCCACACCCATACCTTCCACACCCATACCTTCCACATCCATACCTTCCACACCCATACCTTCCACACCCATACCTTCCACACCCATACCTTCCACAGTCATACCTTCCACACCCATACCTTCCACAGTCATACCTTCCACACCCATACCTTCCACACCCATACCTTCCACATCCATACCTTCCACACCCATACCTTCCACACCCATACCTTCCACACCCATACCTTCCACACCCTTACCTTCCACACCCATACCTTCCACACCCATACCTTCCACACCCATACCTTCCACACCCTTACCTTCCACACCCATACCTTCCACACCCATACCTTCCACACCCATACCTTCCACACCCATACCTTCCACACCCTTACCTTCCACACCCATACCTTCCACAGTCATACCTTCCACACCCATACCTTCCACAGTCATACCTTCCACACCCATACCTTCCACACCCATACCTTCCACACCCATACCTTCCACACCCATACCTTCCACACCCATACCTTCCACACCCATACCTTCCACAGTCATACCTTCCACACCCATACCTTCCACACCCATACCTTCCACATCCATACCTTCCACACCCATACCTTCCACACCCATACCTTCCACACCCATACCTTCCACACCCTTACCTTCCACACCCATACCTTCCACACCCATACCTTCCACACCCATACCTTCCACACCCATACCTTCCACACCCATACCTTCCACATCCATACCTTCCACACCCATACCTTCCACACCCATACCTTCCACACCCATACCTTCCACAGCCATACCTTCCACACCCATACCTTCCACACCCATACCTTCCACACCTTTGTTCCAGCTGTTCCCGCCCTCCTCCCTGCCTGGGGTGCTCCTCCATCCCCGGCTCTGCATTCCTTAGGGCCTTCCATTGTGTGCACTTAGACCCTGGGATGAGTCCTCTAACCGCCGCTACCGGACCGTCCATCTATCCCTTGCTGAATGGCACTGGGGTCATTTCTCTGTCTCCAGCTCCTGGCCCAGTGCCATGCACAAAGCCAGCCCTCAGGAGCGACTCCGATGCTGTGTCCCTGTCCTCGGTAAGGCCCTCCCCACCCGAGAGAGCGGAGACTGTGGGAAGTAGGCTGAGAGGGAGCCTTCAGTTACATCACCCCTCAAAAGGCACAGGCCTCACCTGTATGGCCTCACCTCTCTCAGGCAGGATGGGGATGGGGGCAGCTGTGGAGCGGGTGTGCATGGCAGTGCTGGGAATGGTGGAAATGATGGTCTGGGAGGTTGTGGGGGGTGGTGATGTGGCTGTGCGTCTCCCACCGTCTGTCTTCAGTGACGGTGTTGTCATTCCTGGACACGTGAAAAGACAAGGCGGGGTGTTTCTTACAGTAACAAAACAGGAGAGTCAAAGAGATTCAAAGAAATCAGGAGCTGGAAGAGGGAGCTGGAAACTCCTTGTCTCTCCCCTGCTCATATCCAAACTACTCTCGACATCAGTGCTTTTCGATTGCGGCACAAAGGAGGGTGAGCCTGTCACCCACCACACCCATCACCTCCTCCCCTGTGGGACCTGACACGGCCCCACCAGGTAATGCGAATGCACCAGTGTTCTCAGGTACTCCTTAGGCTGAATTCCGCCAAGGGGCCCACTGGGAGACATAAAGGCGAGGCAGTTGGCAGCTACCTGGTGTTTCCATCTTCAGAGGGGAGTCCGAGGATACTGTGGAAGCTGAGGTAGCACTGCTGACAGCAAGAGGGGTGGCGTGACCTGTGGATACTGAGGAAAGGCTGGTGACAGGAAGAGGGGTGGCGTGACCTGTGGATGCTGAGGAAGTGTCGGTGACAGGAAGAGGGGTGGCGTGACCTGTGGATGCTGAGGAAGTGTCGGTGACAGGAAGAGGGGTGGTGTCACCTGTGGATGCTGAGGAAGTGCTGGTGACAGGAAGAGGGGTGCCGTGACCTGTGGACACTGAGGAAGCGTCGGTGACAGGAAGAGAGGTGGTGTGACCTGAGGATGCTGAGGAAGGGATGGTGACAGGAAGAGGCGTGGTGTCACCTGTGGATACTGAGGAAAGGCTGGTGACAGGAAGAGGGGTGGCCTGACCTGTGGATGCAGAGGAAGTGTCGGTGACAGGAAGAGGCGTGGTGTCACCTGTGGATACTGAGGAAAGGCTGGTGAGAGGAAGAGGGGTGGCGTGACCGGTGGATGCTGAGGAAGCATCGGTGACAGGAAGAGTGCTGGTGTCACCTCTGGATGCTGAGGAAGGGCTGGTGACATGAAGAGGGGTGGCGTGACCTGTGGATAATGAGGAAGCATTGGTGACAGGAAGAGGGGTGGTGTCACCTGTGGATGCTGAGGAAGTGCTGGTGACAGGAACAGGGGTGGCGTGACCTGTGGATGCTGAGGAAGGGCTGGTGACAGGAAGAGGGGTGGCGTGACCTGTAGATACTGAGGAAGTGCTGGTGACAGGAAGAGGGGTGGCGTGACCTGTGGATACTGAGGAAGTGTCGGTGACAGGAAGGGGGGTGGCGTGACCTGTGGATGCTGAGGAACGGCTGGTGACAGGAAGAGAGGTGGCGTGACCTGTGGATACTGAGGAAGTGTCGGTGACAGGAAGAGGGGTGGTGTCACCTGTGGATGCTGAGGAAGTGCTGGTGACAGGAAGAGGGGTGGCATGTCCTGTGGATGCCGAGGAAACGTCGGTGACAGGAAGACGGGTGGTGTCATCTGTGGAAGCTGAGGAAGTGTCGGTGACAGGAAGAGGGGTGGCGTGACGTGTGGATGCTGAGGAAGTGTCGGTGACAGGAAGAGGGGTGGTGTCACCTGTGGAAGCTGAGGAAAGGCCGGTAACAGGAAGAGGGGTGGCGTGACCTGTGGATGCTGAGGAAGGGCTAGTGACAGGAAGAGGCATGGTGTCACCTGTGGATACTGAGGAAGGGATGGTGACAGGAAGAGGGGTGGCGTGACCTGTGGATGCTGAGGAAGCGTCGGTGACAGGAAGAGGGGTGGTGTCACCTGTGGATACTGAGGAAAGGCTGGTGACAGGAAGAGGGGTGGCCTGACCTGTGGATGCTGAGGAAGTGTCGGTGACAGGAAGAGGGGTGGTGTCACCTGTGGATGCTGAGGAAGCGTCGGTGACAGGAAGAGGCGTGGCGTGACCTGTGGACACTGAGGAAGCGTCGGTGACAAGAAGAGGGGTGGCGTGACCTGTGGATGCTGAGGAAGTGCTGGTGACAGGAAGAGGGGTGACGTGACCTGTGGATGCTGAGGAAGGGCTGGTGACATGAAGAGGGGTGACGTGACCTGTAGATACTGAGGAAGTGCTGGTGACAGGAAGAGGGGTGGTGTGACCTGAGGATGATGAGGAAGGGATGGTGACAGGAAGAGGGGTGGCCTGACCTGTGGATGCTGAGGAAGTGTCCGTGACAGGAAGACGGGTGGTGTCACCTGTGGATGCTGAGGAAGTGTCGGTGACAGGAAGAGGGGTGGCGTGACCTGTGGATACTGAGGAAGCGTCGGTGACAAGAAGAGGGGTGGTGTCACCTGTGGATACTGAGGAAAGGCTGGTGACAGGAAGAGGGGTGGCCTGACCTGTGGATGCTGAGGAAGTGTCCGTGACAGGAAGACGGGTGGTGTCACCTGTGGATGCTGAGGAAGTGTCGGTGACAGGAAGAGGGGTGGCGTGACCTGTGGATACTGAGGAAGCGTCGGTGACAAGAAGAGGGGTGGTGTCACCTGTGGATACTGAGGAAAGGCTGGTGACAGGAAGAGGGGTGGCCTGACCTGTGGATGCCGAGGAAGCGTCGGTGACAGGAAGAGGGGTGGTGTCACCTGTGGATACTGAGGAAAGGCTGGTGACAGGAAGAGGCGTGGCGTGACCGGTGGATACTGAGGAAGTGTCGGTGACAGGAAGAGGGGTGGCGTGACCGGTGGATGCTGAGGAAGCGCCGGTGACAGGAAGAGTGCTGGTGTCACCTGTGGATGCTGAGGAAGGGATGGTGACATGAAGAGGGGTGGTGTGACCTGTAGATGCTGAGGAAGGGCTGGTGACAGGAAGAGGGGTGGTGTCACCTGTGGATGCTGAGGAAGTGTCGGTGACAGGAAGAGGGGTGGTGTGACCTGTAGATGCTGAGGAAGTGCTGGTGACAGGAACAGGGGTGGCGTGACCGGTGGATGCTGAGGAAGTGCTGGTGACAGGAAGAGGGGTGGCGTGACCTGTGGATGCTGAGGAAGGGCTAGTGACAGGAAGAGGCATGGTGTCACCTGTGGATACTGAGGAAGTGTTGGTGACAGGAAGAGGGGTGGCCTGACCTGTGGATGCCGAGGAAATGTCGGTGACAGGAAGACGGGTGGTGTCACCTGTGGAAGCTGAGGAAAGGCCGGTGACAGGAAGAGGGGTGGCGTGACCTGTGGATACTGAGGAAGTGTCGGTGACAGGCACAGGGGTGGTGTCACCTGTGGATGCTGAGGAAGGGCTGGTGACATGAAGAGGGGTGGCGTGACCTGTGGATGCTGAGGAAGCGTCGGTGACAAGAAGAGGAGTGGCGTGACCTGTGGATACTGAGGAAGTCTCGGTGACAAGAAGAGGGGTGGTGTCACCTGTGGATGATGAGGAAGTGTCGGTGACAGGAAGAGAGGTGGTGTCACCTGTGTATGCTGAGGAAGTGTCGGTGACAGGAAGAGAGGTGGTGTCACCTGTGGATGCTGAGGAAGTGTCGGTGACAGGAAGAGAGGTGGCATGACCGGTGGATGCTGAGGAAGGGCTAGTGACAGGAAGAGGCGTGGTGTCACCTGTGGATACTGAGGAAAGGCTGGTGACAGGAAGAGGGGTGGCCTGACCTGTGGATGCTGAGGAAGCGTCGGTGACAAGAAGAGGAGTGGCGTGACCTGTGGATGCTGAGGAAGGGCTAGTGACAGGAAGAGGCGTGGTGTCACCTGTGGATACTGAGGAAAGGCTGGTGACAGGAAGAGGGGTGGCCTGACCTGTGGATGCTGAGGAAGTGTCGGTGACAGGAAGAGGGGTGGTGTCACCTGTGGATGCTGAGGAAGTGCTGGTGACAGGAAGAGCGGTGGCCTGACCTGTGGATGCTGAGGAAGTGTCGGTGACAGGAAGAGGGGTGGTGTGACCTGTGGATGCTGAGGAAGGGCTAGTGACAGGAAGAGGCGTGGTGTCACCTGTGGATACTGAGGAAAGGCTGGTGACAGGAAGAGGGGTGGCGTGACCTGTGGATGCTGAGGAAGTGTCGGTGACAGGAAGCGGGGTGGCGTGACCGGTGGATGCTGAGGAAGGGCTGGTGACATGAAGAGGGTTGGCGTGACCTGTGGATGCTGAGGAAGTGTCGGTGACAGGAAGCGGGGTGGCGTGACCGGTGGATGCTGAGGAAGGGCTGGTGACATGAAGAGGGGTGGCGTGACCTGTGGATATTGAGGAAGTGTCGGTGACAGGAAGAGAGGTGGCGTGACCTATGGATGCTGAGGAAGTGTCGGTGACAGGAAGAAGGGTGGCGTGACCTGTGGATGCTGAGGAAGTGTCGGTGTCAGGAAGAGGGGTGGCGTGACCTGTGGATGCTGAGGAAGTGTCGGTGACAGGAAGAGAGGTGGCGTGACCTGTGGATGCTGAGGAAGTGTCGGTGACAGGAAGAGGGGTGGTGTCACCTGTGGATACTGAGGAAAGGCTGGTGACAGGAAGAGGGGTGGCCTGACCTGTGGATGCTGAGGAAGTGTCGGTGACAGGAAGAGGCGTGGTGTCACCTGTGGATACTGAGGAAAGGCTGGTGAGAGGAAGAGGGGTAGCGTGACCTGTGGACACTGAGGAAGCGTCGGTGACAGGAAGAGGGGTGGCATGACCTGTGGACACTGAGGAAGCGTCGGTGACAGGAAGAGAGGTGGCGTGACCTGTGGACACTGAGGAAGCGTCGGTGACAGGAAGAGGGGTGGTGTGACCTGAGGATGCTGAGGAAGGGATGGTGACAGGAAGAGAGGTGGCATGACCTGTGAACACTGAGGAAGCGTCGGTGACAGGAAGAGAGGTGGCGTGACCTGTGGACACTGACGAAGCGTCGGTGACAGGAAGAGGGGTGGTGTGACCTGTGGATGCTGAGGAAGGGCTGGTGACATGAAGAGGGGTGGCGTGACCTGTGGATACTGAGGAAGTGTTGGTGACAGGAAGAGGGGTGGCGTGACCTGTGGATGCTGAGGAAGTGTCGGTGACAGGAAGAGGGGTGGTGTCACCTGTGGATACTGAGGAAGTCTCGGTGACAAGAAGAGGGGTGGTGTCACCTGTGGATGATGAGGAAGTGTCGGTGACAGGAAGAGAGGTGGTGTCACCTGTGTATGCTGAGGAAGTGTCGGTGACAGGAAGAGAGGTGGTGTCACCTGTGGATGCTGAGGAAGTGTCGGTGACAGGAAGAGAGGTGGCATGACCGGTGGATGCTGAGGAAGGGCTAGTGACAGGAAGAGGCGTGGTGTCACCTGTGGATACTGAGGAAAGGCTGGTGACAGGAAGAGGGGTGGCCTGACCTGTGGATGCTGAGGAAGCGTCGGTGACAAGAAGAGGAGTGGCGTGACCTGTGGATGCTGAGGAAGGGCTAGTGACAGGAAGAGGCGTGGTGTCACCTGTGGATACTGAGGAAAGGCTGGTGACAGGAAGAGGGGTGGCCTGACCTGTGGATGCTGAGTAAGTGTCGGTGACAGGAAGAGGGGTGGTGTCACCTGTGGATGCTGAGGAAGTGCTGGTGACAGGAAGAGGGGTGGCGTGACCTGTGGATGCTGCGGAAGTGTCGGTGACAGGAAGAGAGGTGGCGTGACCTGTGGATGCTGAGGAAGGGCTGGTGACATGAAGAGAGGTGGCGTGACGTGTGGATAATGAGGAAGCATTGGTGACAGGAAGAGGGGTGGTGTCACCTGTGGATGCTGAGGGAGTGTCGGTGACAGGTAGAGGGGTGGTGTGACCTGTAGATGCTGAGGAAGGGCTGGTGACAGGAAGACGGGTGGTGTCACCTGTGGATACTGACGAAGCGTCGGTGACAAGAAGAGGGGTGGTGTGACCTGTGGATACTGAGGAAGTGTCGGTGCCAGGAAGAGGGGTGGTGTCACCTGTGGATGCTGAGGAAGTGCTGGTGACAGGAAGAGGGGTGGCATGACCTGTGGATGCCGAGGAAACGTTGGTGACAGGAAGACGGGTGGTGTCACCTGTGGAAGCTGAGGAAAGGCCGGTGACAGGAAGATGGGTGGCGTGACCTGTGGATGCTGAGGAAGTGTCGGTGACAGGAAGAGGGGTGGTGTCACCTGTGGATGCTGAGGAAGCGTCGGTGACAGGAAGAGGGGTGGTGTGACCTGAGGATGCTGAGGAAGAGCTGGTGACAGGAAGAGGGGTGGTGTCACCTGTGGATACTGAGGAAGCGTCGGTGACATGAAGAGGGGTGGCGTGACCTGTGGATGCTGAGGAAGGGCTAGTGACAGGAAGAGGCGTGGTGTCACCTGTGGATGCTGAGGAAAGGCTGGTGACAGGAAGAGGGGTGGCGTGACCTGTGGATGCTGAGGAAGCGTCGGTGACATGAAGAGGGGTGGCGTGACCTGTGGATGCTGAGGAAGGGCTAGTGACAGGAAGAGGAGTGGTGTCACCTGTGGATACTGAGGAAAGGCTGGTGACAGGAAGAGAGGTGGCGTGACCTGTGGACACTGAGGAAGCGTCGGTGACAGGAAGAGGGGTGGTGTCACCTGTGGATGCTGAGGAAAGGCTGGTGACAGGAAGAGGGGTGGCCTGTCCTGTGGATGCTGAGGAAGTGTCGGTGACAAGAAGAGGGATGGCGTGACCTGTGGATGCTGAGGAAGGGCTGGTGACAGGAAGAGGGGTGGCCTGACCTGTGGATGCTGAGGAAGTGTCGGTGACAGGAAGAGGGGTGGCGTGACCTGTGGATGCTGAGGAAGTGTCGGTGACAGGAAGAGAGGTGGCGTGACCTGTGGATGCTGAGGAAGTGTCGGTGACAGGAAGAGAGGTGGCGTGACCTGTGGATACTGAGGAAGTTTCGGTGACAGGAAGAGGGGTGGTGTCACCTGTGGATGTTGAGGAAGGGCTGGTGACAGGAAGAGGGGTGGTGTCCCCTGTGGATAATGAGGAAGCATCGGTGTCATGAAGAGCGGTGGCGTGACCTGTGGATACTGAGGAAGCGTCGGTGACAAGAAGAGAGGTGGCGTGACCTGTGGATATTGAGGAAGCGTCGGTGACAAGAAGAGGGGTGGCGTGACCTGTGGATGCTGAGGAAGGGTTAGTGACAGGAAGAGGCGTGGTGTCACCTGTGGATACTGAGGAAAGGCTGGTGACAGGAAGAGGGGTGTCCTGACCTGTGGATGCTGAGGAAGTATCGGTGACAGGAAGCGGCGTGGTGTCACCAGTGGATGCTGAGGAAAGGCTGGTGACAGGAAGAGGGGTGGCCTGTCCTGTAGATACTGAGGAAGTGTCGGTGACCGGAAGAGGGGTGGCATGACCTGTGGACACTGAGGAAGCGTCGGTGACAGGAAGAGGGGTGGCGTGACCTGTGGACACTGAGGAAGCGTCGGTGACAGGAAGAGAGGTGGCGTGACCTGTGGGTACTGAGGAAGCGTCGGTGACAGGAAGAGGGGTGGTGTGACCTGAGGATGCTGAGGAAGGGCTAGTGACAGGAAGAGGCGTGGTGTCACCTGTGGATGCTGAGGAAAGGCTGGTGACAGGAAGAGAGGTGGCGTGACCTGTGGATACTGAGGAAGCGTCGGTGACATGAAGAGGGGTGGTGTCACCTGTGGATGCTGAGTTAGTGTCGGTGACAGGAAGAGGGGTGGTGTCACCTGTGGATACTGAGGAAGCGTCGGTGACAAGAAGAGAGGTGGCGTGACCTGTGGACACTGAGGAAGCGTCGGTGACAGGAAGAGAGGTGGTGTGACCTGAAGATGCTGAGGAAGGGATGGTGACAGGAAGAGAGGTGGTGTCACCTGTGGATGCTGAGGAAGCGTCGGTGACAGGAAGAGGGGTGGTGTCACCTGTGGATGCTGAGGAAGGGCTGGTGACAGGAAGAGGGATGGCCTGACCTGTGGATGCCGAGGAAACGTCGGTGACAGGAAGACGGGTGGTGTCATCTGTGGAAGCTGAAGAAAGGCCGGTGACAGGAAGTGGGGTGGCGTGAGCTGTGGATACTGAGGAAGTGTCGGTGACAGGAAGAGGGGTGGCCTGACCTGTGGATGCTGAGGAAGCGTCAGTGACAAGAAGAGGGCTGGCGTGACCTGTGGATGCTGAGGAAGGGCTAGTGACAGGAAGAGGCGTGGTGTCACCTGTGGATACTGAGGAAAGGCTGGTGACAGGAAGAGGGGTGGCCTGACCTGTGGATGCCGAGGAAACGTCGGTGACAGGAAGACGGGTGGTGTCATCTGTGGTAGCTGAGGAAAGGCCGGTGACAGGAAGAGGGGTGGCGTGACCGGTGGATGCTGAGGAAGTGCTGGTGACAGGAAGAGGGGTGGCGTGACCTGTGGATGCTGAGGAAGGGCTGGTGACATGAAGAGGGGTGGCGTGACCTGTGGATAATGAGGAAGCATTGGTGACAGGAAGAGGGGTGGTGTCACCTGTGGATGCTGAGGAAGTGTCGGTGACAGGAAGAGGGGTGGTGTGACCTGTAGATGCTGAGGAAGGGCTGGTGACAGGAAGAGGGGTGGTGTCACCTTTGGATGCTGAGGAAGTGTCGGTGACAGGAAGAGGGGTGGTGTGACCTGTAGATGCTGAGGAAGGGCTGGTGACAGGAAGAGGGGTGGTGTGACCTGTGGATACTGAGGAAGCGTCGGTGACAGGAAGAGGGGTGGTGTCACCTGTGGATGCTGAGGAAGGGCTAGTGACAGGAAGAGGCATGGTGTCACCTGTGGATGCTGAGGAAAGGCTGGTGACAGGAAGAGGGGTGGCGTGACCTGTGGATGCTGAGGAAGGGCTGGTGACATGAAGAGGAGTGACGTGACCTGTGGATGCTGAGGAAGTGCTAGTGACAGGAAGAGGCGTGGTGTCACCTGTGGATACTGAGGAAGTGTCGGTGACAAGAAGAGAGGTGGCCTGACCTGTGGATGCTGAGGAAGTGTCGGTGACAGGAAGAGGGGTGGTGTGACCTGTGGATGCTGCGGAAGGGATGGTTACAGGAAGAGAGGTGGCGTGATCTGTGGACACTGAGGAAGCGTCGGTGACAGGAAGAGGGGTGGCGTGTCCTGTGGATGCTGAGGAAGTGTCGGTGACAAGAAGAGGGGTGGCGTGACCTGTGGATGCTGAGGAAGGGCTAGTGACAGGAAGAGGCGTGGTGTCACCTGTGGATACTGAGGAAAGGCTGGTGACAGGAAGAGGGGTGGCCTGACCTGTGGATGCTGAGGAAGCATCAGTGACATGAAGAGGGGTGGTGTGACCTGTGGATACTGAGGAAGCGTCGGTGACAGGAAGAGGGGTGGTGTCACCTGTGGATGCTGAGGAAGGGCTAGTGACAGGAAGAGGCATGGTGTCACCTGTGGATGCTGAGGAAAGGCTGGTGACAGGAAGAGGGGTGGCGTGACCTGTGGATGCTGAGGAAGGGCTGGTGACATGAAGAGGAGTGACGTGACCTGTGGATGCTGAGGAAGTGCTAGTGACAGGAAGAGGCGTGGTGTCACCTGTGGATACTGAGGAAGTGTCGGTGACAAGAAGAGAGGTGGCCTGACCTGTGGATGCTGAGGAAGTGTCGGTGACAGGAAGAGGGGTGGTGTGACCTGTGGATGCTGCGGAAGGGATGGTTACAGGAAGAGAGGTGGCGTGATCTGTGGACACTGAGGAAGCGTCGGTGACAGGAAGAGGGGTGGCGTGTCCTGTGGATGCTGAGGAAGTGTCGGTGACAAGAAGAGGGGTGGCGTGACCTGTGGATGCTGAGGAAGGGCTAGTGACAGGAAGAGGCGTGGTGTCACCTGTGGATACTGAGGAAAGGCTGGTGACAGGAAGAGGGGTGGCCTGACCTGTGGATGCTGAGGAAGCATCAGTGACATGAAGAGGGGTGGTGTGACCTGTGGATACTGAGGAAGTGTCGGTGACAGGAAGAGAGGTGGCGTGACCTGTGGATGCTGAGGAAGTGTCGGTGACAGGAAGAGGGGTGGTGTGACCTGTGGATACTGAGGAAGTGTCGGTGACAGGAAGAGAGGTGGCGTGACCTGTGGATGCTGAGGAAGTGTCAGTGACAGGAAGAGGGGTGGTGTCACCTGTGGATGCTGAGGAAAGGCTGGTGACAGGAAGAGGGGTGACGTGACCTGTGGATGCTGAGGAAGTGTCAGTGACAGGAAGAGGGGTGCTGTCACCTGTGGATGCTGAGGAAAAGCTGGTGACAGGAAGAGGGGTGACGTGACCTGTGGATTCTGAGGAAGTGTCGGTGACAGGAAGAGGGGTGGTGTGACCTGTGGATACTGAGGAAGGGCTGGTGACAGGAAGAGGGGTGGCGTGACCTGTGGATACTGAGGAAGCATCGGTGACATGAAGAGGGGTGGTGTGACCTGTGGATGCCGAGGAAGCGTAGGTGACAGGAAGAGGGGTGGCGTTGCTGATGAGGGCCGTGGTGAAGGTTTTACCAGACCCTGAAGGTGACAGAGTGTGGGTCTCGGTTTGTGGAGATGTAAGCCCAGTGGATGTGATCGATGGAGGTGTGGGTGGGACTGTTGAGAAGGTGTCGGTTGCCTGGGACGCCAGGCTGATAGTGTCAGACCCTCTGCTGGTTCTTGTCCTCTGAGTCTGGGCCATCCGGGAAATGGCGGCTGTCTCCTGAGGAGAGGCACTGGGAGAAGTTGGGCTTGACTGTCCTGTCGGTCTCCCTGCAGTGGAGGCCTCAGAGAGGGTGGGATGAAAGGTGCCGGGGACGATCGAAGACGCCATTCCTGTGCTTACTGGGATGGCACCATGACTGGCTGAGGCGGACAGCAATTCGGTTGTTGACTGGGTTGTGTGACTGTCCCTGGAGGGGTTTGATGAAAACCTTGTCGTCTCTCCTGAGGTGGATATTCCTTCGCTTCCTGAAGGTGTTGTGCCACTCGCCCCGGATGAGGAAGGGGTAGCTGTGCCCGCTGAGGTGGTTCGTGACCCTGAGGAGGCCGGTTCGCTGGTCTGTGTTTGTCCAGAGGCCTCTGTGCTCTCAGCCTGGTGGGTATGGGTCATGGCTGCTGCTGTGTCAGGTGAGGTGCTGGCAGAGGCTGATGTCCATTGTCCTTCTGGGCCCCCTGGTGTTGACACTACAGAGTTGGCCAGAGTAAGGGCACCTGTTTTGGAAAGTGACGTGCCTCCTGAGGGCCCCAGGGTGGCATCATGGCTGCTGGGTGCTGCCTGCAGTGCTGTGGTCGGGGCCTGGGTTGTGTGACCATCCCCGGTGGGAGCTGGGGCAAAGGTTGTTGCTGCACTTATGGTGGGTGCGTCCTGAGGAACAATTTCTGAGGGCGAGTGCCCACTGGCTGTGAAGGAAGAACCTGGGGTGGTGACTGTCTTGGTGTCAGTCATGGGGGAGACGGACCTCGTGGTTTGTGATTCTTGTGTGGTCTGCGGGGCTTGAGTGTGACCCCTTTGGGAAACAGCTGGTGATTCCTGAGGAGAGGTGCTTGTGGAATGTATTGTTGAATGATTTGTTGATGGTGCCGTTGTAATTTGTTGGGATGTGTGTCTATCCAGCATAGGTGAAGAAGATGGGGATGTGGCCGTTTTTATCATCTGAGTCACACTGTAGCTTGGGCTGCTGAGAAGAGCCTCTCCAGTGGTCCCCGTTTCTTGTGTCCATTGTGTCTGGGCGCCTGCCCCTGTTGTTTTTGGGAGAGTTGTGCTGTGGGAGGAGTATGTGGTGGGCTCTCCTGGTTCCCCTATTGCTGAGACCTTAGAGGGGACCCTTGGAATAGTGCCAGCTGTCCCTGTAGATGGATTTCCTGTGACAAGCCTAGTGGCAGCACCTGTTGATGTTGAGGGCAGTTCTGTTTGTGACCAAGTTGTGTGGCCTTTGCTGGAGAATGAGGAAGGCCATGTTGTTGTTTCATGTAGAGTAAATATTTCTTGAGACACACCTGGAGAGAATGAGCTCCTCTCATGAGGCCGTCCTGTGGTCTCTGCACCTTCACTCTGCTGGGTGTGGAAAGCTGTGGATATTTTTGGAGGTAGAGAACTGGGGGAGAGTGCTGTTGACAGAGTGTCTGACCACCATATGGTTGAAACTTTGGAAGTGATTGCAGAAATGGTTCCACTTACAGATAGTGATGTCTCCTCTGTGTTTCCAAGAGTAGAGTCTCTGGAGGTTGGCATTCTGAACACCTTTGATGTTACCAGGAATGTATTGCTGACACTGGAAGGGGATGAGGTGGTTGTTTCACCAGAAGGGAATGTCTCCTGAGAAACTGTTCCACTTGGGTTGAATCCACTTGGTGAGGATAAAACAGTTGATGTTGTAACCGGTGTGAGGGTGTTGAGGGTGTTGATTTGAGATACTCTGGTGGTCTCCACGCTCTGAGTCTGGTGGTTCTTAGAAAAAGCTGTTGTGTCCTGAGTAGAAGTCCTTGAGAAAGTTGCTGGTGATTGTCCTTCTGGATCAAATGTTACTAAGGCTGCTGAGGTGACTGGCATAAGACTTCCAGTAACAGGTACTGATGATGTCTCCCCTGGGTTTCCAAGAGTGGAGCCTGTGGAGGTTGTCACTGTTATCTTCTCTGATGTCATCATGGATGTGTTTGTGACACTACAGAGGGATGAGGTAGCTGTTTCACCTGAAGGAGATGTCTTCTGAGAAACAGTCCCTGTCACATTGTGTACACTTGGAGAGAAAGAAGGAGTTGAAGTGGTTCTGTGTGTTAGGGTGCTGGTTTGAGATTCCCTGGTGGTCTGCGTGCTCCGAGTCCAGTGGTTCTGAGAAGAAGCTGATGTGTCTTGGATAGAGGTCCTCCAGGAAGTTGTTCGTGATTGTCCTTCCTGTCCAGCTGTTATTGAGACTGCTGAGGTCACTGGGGTAGAACTTTCAGTTCCTGCTGTTGATGTCTCTTCTGTGTTTCCAAGAGTGGAGTCTGTGGAGGTTGTCATTGTTATAGTCTTTGATGTCATCATGAGTGTGTTGGTGACACTGGAGGGAAATGATGTGGTCATTTCATCTGGAGGAGCTGTCTCCATCACATTGTGTACACTTGGGGAAGAAAAAAGAGTTGATGTCATCATCTGCGTGAGGGTGTCGGTTTGAGCTTTGCTGGTGGTCTCCGTGCTCTTAGTCTGGTGGTTCTGAGATGAAGCTGATATGTCCTGATTAGAGGTCCTTGAAGAAGCTGCAGTTGATTGTCCCTCTAGTGTCGCTGTTGTTGAGCCTGTTGAGGTGACTGGGGCAGCAGTTTTACTTCCAGTTATTAATGTGTCCTCTGTGGTTCCTGGAGTGAACCAAAATAGGCAAGCAGAGAGCTAAATCATGAATGAACTCCTATTCACAATTGCTACAAATAGAATAAAATACCTAGGAATACAGCTAACAAAGGATGTGAAAACTACCATTCTTCACAGAATGAGAACAAACTACTTTAAAATTCATATGGAATCAAAAAAGAACCCAAATAGCCAAGACAATCCTAAGCAAAAAGAACAAAGTGGGAGGCTACCTGACTTCAAACTATACTACAAGGCTACAGTAACCAAAACAGCATGGTACTGGTACCAAAACTGACATATAAACCAATGGAACAGAATAGATACCTTGGAAATAAGACCACACATCTACAACCATCTGATCTTTGACAAACCTGACAAAAGCAGGCAATGGGGAAAGGATTCTCTATTCAATAAATGGTGCTGGGAAAACTGGTTAGCCATATGCAGAAAACTGAAACTGGACCCCTTCCTTACACCTTATACAAAAATTAACTCAAGGCAGGTTAAAGACTTACATGTAAAACCCCAAACCATGAAAACCCTAGAAGAAAACCTAGGCAATACCATTCAGGACATAGACATAGGCAAAGATTTTATGATGAAATCTCCAAAAGCACTTGCAACAAAAGCTAAAATTGACAAATGGGATCTAATTAAACTAAAGAGCTCTGCACAGCAAAAGAAACTATCATCAGAGCAAACAGGCAACCTACAAAATGAGAAAATTTTTGCAATCTAACCATCTGACAGAGGTCTAATATCCAGAATTTACAAGGAACTTAAATTTACAAGAAAAAAATAAACAACCCCATCAAAAAGCAGGCAAAGGATATGAACAGACACTTATCAAAAGAAGACATTTATGCCACCAACAAACATATGAAAAAAGGCTCATCATCATGGATCATTAGAGAAATGCAAATCAAAACTACAAAGGGATATCATCTCACACCACTCAGAATGGCAATTATTAAAAAGTCAAGAAACAGCAGATGCTGGCAAGGCTGTGGTGAAATAGGAACGCTTTTACACTGTTGGTGGGAGTGTAAATCAGTTCAACCATTGTGGAAGACAGTGTGGCGATTCCTCAAGGATCTAGAACCAGAAATACCATTTGACCCAGCAATCCCATTACTGGGTATATGCCCAAAGGAATATAAATCATTCTGTTATAAAGATACATGCACACGTATGTTTACTGCAGCACTATTTACAATAGTAAAGACATGAAACCAACCCAAATGTCCATCAGTGATAGACTGGATAAAGAAAATGTGGTACATATGCAGCACGGAATACTATGCAGCCATGAAAAAGGAATGGGATCACGTCCTTTGCAGGTACATGGATGAAGCTGAAAGCCATCATCCTCAACAAACTAACAGGGGAACAGAAAACCAAACACTGCATGTTTTCACTCATAAGTTGGAGTTGAACAATGAGAACACATGGACACAGAGAGGGGAACAACACACACTGGCGCCTGTCAGGGACGGGACAAGGGGAGGAAGAGCGTCAGGATAAATAGCTAATACATGCAGGTGATGGGTTGATAGGTGCAGTAAACCACCATGGCACATATATACCTGTGTAACAAACCTGCACGTTCTGCACATGTATCCTGAAACTTAAAGTAAAAATGAAAAGAAATAAAAAGAAAAAATGAAAAATTAATATATCACAACTGTACATATTTGGGGGATAAAAAAATAATAAGAGATGGGGCCGGGCATGGTAGCCCCACCTGCAATCCCAGCACTTTGGGAGGCTGAGATGGGTGGATCACTTGAGGTCAGGAGTGCGAGACCAGCCTGGGCAATATGGCAAAACCCCGTCTCTACTAGAAAAAAAAATACAGAAATAGCTGGGCGTGGTGGTGGGTGCCTGTAATCCCAGTTACTCAAAAGGCTGAGGCAGGAGAATTGCTTGAACCCAGGAGGTGGAGGTTGCAGTGAGCAGACATCATGCCACTTCACTGCAGCCTGGGCGACAGAGCAAGATTCTGTCTCAAAAAAAAAATAAATAAATAAAATAAAAAAGGAGAGAGAGATGGGGGTGCAGGATTCCCACAGAGGAAGGCCCCTGATAAGCACTGCTTCAAATCGCCTAGAAAAAGCACAGTTGCAGGAATATAGCCAATGGTCTTCTCCAGCTCCCGCCTGTCTTCCTTGTGAGGAGGAAGGTGAGGTTAGACTAGAATGGTGAATTAACTGTGTTAAACTCCATGGGAAGAGGCAAACAGTACCCCTGCTATAAGCCGGGTTAACTCTCTCAACTTGAATTATAGCATTATCTTTCTTAAAAATAAATTAAATTTCTACTTTTCTTTTTCGTTGTTAACATCTGTGCCAATCTGGTAAAAAACCCAAGGGGTAAATGCATATACTCTTGCCCTGGTCACAGACTACCAAGAAGCTAATATTATTGACCATAACCACTTTTTAAAAAAAAATTATTTCCCAGGCAGAGGCCAGGCATGGTGGCTCATGTCTGTAATCCCAGCATTTTGGGAGGCCAAGGTGGGAGGATCACTCGAGGCCAGGAGTTTGAGACCAGCCTGGGCAAGATAGCGAGACCCTGTGTCTTAAAAAATAAAAATAATAATAATAATAATAAAAATAGATATTAAATAAATAAAGAAAAATATTTCCCAGGCAGAATGTTTAAATATTGGCTTTTTTTGTTTAAAATATTTCACAGCACCTGCACTAGCCACATACCATCTTCGTGAATATTACCTTAGCCTCTGAGTCTCTGAACCAAGAAGAAACCAAGAAAACTTGCCTTTTTTTTTCTCTTAGAAACTGACTCTTTTGGGTTTTCATTAGTTCCCTAGCTGTTCTCAAACTTCTTTCTTTTTTCTTTTTAAACATATATATATAGAGAGAGAGAGAGAGAGAAGAAAGAGAGAGAGAGAGAAAGAAAGAGAGAGAGAGAAAGAGAGACAGGGTCTTCTGTCACCCAGGCTGAAGTTCAGCGGTGTAATTGGCCTTCTGAGTAGCTGGGACTACAGGCACACACAACCATGCCTGGGTAATTTTTTTATTTCTGTAGAGGTGGAATCTTGCTATGTTGCCTAGGCTGGTGTCGAACTCCCGGCCTCAAGCGATCCTCCTGCTTCAGACTCTCAAAGTACTGGGATTAAAGGTGTGAGCCACCGCTCCCACCCTTTTTTTCAACCTCAGTGCTCCTAGATAGTTGGCAAGATGATACTCAGAGAGACAAAGTCTCAGGGAAGAATTC